>NC_000002.12:22358240-22509755 GCF_000001405.40 Homo sapiens
TGGGCCTTCTCCTCTCTTTGAAGATGACCATGAATGGAAGATGAGAGAGAAACCACTGCATTGAGTATTATAGTTTCATTTTCTTCACTCTTTTATTTTCTAAATGCACTAGTTGCTGATCTGCCTAGTTCTGCAACACACTAAAGGGTAAACCTGGTGATAGATGTGGGAAGGTGAGGGGGTGGGGGAGGAGGGGTGTTCAGTGGATTTTCCCAAGGAAAGTCTATGCATCAACAGTAGCCTACCCAACTTAGAAAAAAACAAAACAATAACAACAACAAAAAAAAAACAAGAAAAATGAACCCCCAGCATTTTTTTGCCTAAGCAATACAAAGGAGGCCACTGGCTCACTATTTCAGGACAGGAGAGGTGCAGCATGAGGTCACATCAGCTTAATTGGAGAGTACAGCTTACCCCTGGAAAGGGGTACACAGGTGACCTACACAGCAATTTCTTCAATATCACTGGTGTTAAAAATGCCAACTTCACTTTGACTTTCATGACACATGCTGTTCCTTTTCCTGCAAGGGCAAAAATTTGGAGCAAAGTGTTATAAACAAGACCCTTTTTCCAGGATGCTCCTGCAAAAGTGAACTCATGGTTGCTTTAGAGTTGAAAATCGCTCTTCAAAGAGGTAGTCTATGGAAATCTTAGAACTGTCATGAACGAAATGGTCTTTTCATTGGAATATACTAGAGAGATTATTCAACTCACAATGATGGGATTTTTCTTTATGCCACGTCTCGTGATGGCAGCCACATTATCTAGCCTGTATTCTGCTCTGTGAGGATCTTGGGTTTTATGCAGACATTTATGAGGTGAGACAGCAGAGGGCTGTACCTGAGGACACACAGCTCAGGACAAAGCTCTAATTTGCCTGTTTACATTAATCAGCAGGCAGGAGAAGTGGTTTATCAAAGAGGCAGCCCTGCATTTCCTTCCCTTTCCATACCTTTCACACTTCCCATAGAAAATGCTCCTCCCCTGGTTGCAGCTTTCTGTAGCCAGAGGGCCCTGTGTATCCTTTCTCACCTTACTTTGTACATCCAGCTGAGCAAAGTTTATTATTCTGTTTTATGTACCATAATCTGTCATGGCTGAGTTTGTTATAACAAGATCTGAACAGATGGGGAATGGTTTGCTCAAGAATTACTTGCATATGAGTGACATATAGAAAAAAATTGGAAGCTGGAATGCAATCCCTGCAATACAATCCCAAACTCGTTATCCTCCCCACAGGATGCCCGTGTATCTTGCCCCCACATGAAGGTGTTAATGACTATTCCAAAGACCTATCAAGGAGTGTAGTCCTCTGGTAGAGAGCATACATACAAATAAAGGAGTCATACAGCACCAGAGAAAGGCAGCAACAATTTTTTGTCATAACTTGTCTTTCTAGTACATAGTTTTTTCCTGTCAAGTGACACATACTTGAAATACACAAACACAATCAGTTAACAAGGGAATAAAGATACTGCAAATAAAGCAATTTCCTTAGAACTGGAAAATCTCCAGAATTGGATAGATTCTTATCAGCATTTGATAAACTTTTTTTTTAAACACCTACTGAGTCCAATTTCGTAGTCCTCCGAAGTTCTTGCTAAGCATAACAGAGAAGATAATCAGAAATCCTTGTGCACAATATGCTGCCTAAAAGAGTATTAAAAAAAAAAAAAACAGTTCAGGCAATGAGGGCGCCATTAATCCTCTAATCCAACTGCCTGTATTTCTGTTGATTTCAGAAAAAAAAATGCCATATTAAGTTGTTAGTGCCCTCTACTCCAAAGAGATCATACAAATACATTTTAAAAATCCTTGTCTGCACAAGTTCTCTGTGGTTTAGTATGTTTTACAGTGACTGCTCAGTTAGATCCAGCCTGAAGCCATTTCTACATTTAAAAAACTATAGCATTAACTATATGATCTTTCAACAGCATTTATGGTCAAACTACATATTCTCTGCAGGACCTAAAATAACATGAATGGAGAAAATGAAGAAAATAAAGAGAAAATGAAATTTTACTTTTTATGAGATTCTTTCATGGGCTCCTCCTTTTGAAATGTACTATGTCTTTTAATCTACTTACCCACATCTTAGGCACTTTTCATCTCTGTCAAACCTGCTCTGAGATCTTTTTTACATATCAAAACTAGGGCATCATTTTTTGCCAGTATCTCAAAAGTTAACACTTGATTAAACTAAACCTCTATTGTCCTTTTCTGTTTTAGGTGAAATAGTTTCTTCTGTACAAGTAACATTGATTTCTTGAAGGTTAAAAACCATTGACTTTCATCTTCTATAGTTAACACTAAATATCATGAAATAAATAAATGCTAACTTCCTTAGTTAATACTTAATAGTAGAAGATCAATGTTTAAATTTCCTTTCTTATGGCCAATTTATACCACACCTCCTGAGAAACAGCACAAGGAATAGGAAGCTGTTTACTGAATGATTAGAACTCAAGATTTTTCATGAGTTGTGGTAACAGCAGATTTGAAGGTGTACTTTCTAGATATCGCACTACTCCACAGGTAGCTTAATGTCTTCTGAAAAGTTGAGCTTCAAACTTAGCATCCTGAAATTTTAATTGGTGCTCTACACTCTGAGTTCAGCATGGTTAGAAATCTAGAGTTTTAACACTGGAAACTTTCCCCACTGTGACTCACAAACGTTGCCAATCACATTCCAAAGCTACTCTAAAAAATGAGTCACCCAGGTAATGACACTTAACATTTCAACAGCTCCTTATCCCTGTTAGTTAATTATCCTGCAACACAGAAAATGACAATGGTTCTTATTTAAGAGGAAAATGAATGGTTTTGCTAAAGTTGAGAAAGTTGGTGAAATTGGACCCTAGAACACTGGGCATTTTGCCTCATATATCCCTGAGGGGATACATTTGCTCACTTCTTCGTTCTCTCCTCCCTAGCCATGCTAGCAACAAGAACTTTTCCCCTCAGCTATGCTGGCCTCTATTTACCAAGAATTCGGCAAGTATTCTTTCTTCAAACTTTCATCAAACTTTTCTTGCATTGCTTCCATGAACAAAGTAAATGACAGTGAGCAATTGAGGAGCATCAGACCAATGATTCTCATCTTTGCCTAAAATTAGGAAAACAATAATGGCTTGAACAGAAGAAGCAGCTGAAGGAAAACCGCATAGGGCCTTGCTGGTTTCCCACCAAATCTTTCACCTACCTAAGCACTGTCACTTACTCATCAACCCACCATCATCACCATCCCCATGGCTACACACAGGCACATATACACACCATGAATTACATATCTAGGGCTTTCAAAATGTGCTTTAAATATACATACTTAGTATCATATTCTTGTATGTTTTATAACTCACTTTTTTCTTAACAGTATGCATTTTAATTTCTCCAGAAGAGAAAGAGAGAAAAAGGGAGAAAGAAAGAGAGAAAAGAGGAAAGAAAGAAAGAAGAAAAGGGAAGGGAAAGGAAGGGAAAAGAAGCAGGAAAAAAATAAAGAAGAAAGGAAAGAAGGAATAAAATTTATTTATTTCAAATGCTCTAAAGTACTGTGAGACTGTTACATTTTATTAATTAAACTTAGTGTCCTGATAATTCATCATTAGGCTCGTTCCAGGTTATTTTCACAATTGCATACAATGTGTCCATGCTGGATGTGATGCGTGACCTTTTTATTCCTGCATCATTTATTAGTTTATCTTTACCTCACTGATTTGCTATTTTGTAAATAAGAAAATTTTATGCCGTTATCTTTTTAAATATTTCTTCTTCCCAGTTCTCATTTACCTCATGTTTTTGAACTATAAGGAGTGTTTTGGATCTTCCTAGATATCTTCTGTCTCTCCTAACTTCTTTTTTATTTCTTCTGTCTCTTTATATTTTAGGCTACATTCTTGACGATGATTCAGATCTATGATCTAGTTCACTAACTTTTTCTTTAGCTGTGCTATATTTCCATTTAACTCATATTGAGCTGTTATTTCTTTTCTTCTTTTTTAAATTTAACTTTCTTTTTTAAAATTTCAACATTCATTGTAGGCTTGGGGGGTACATGTGTAGGTTTGTAACATGGGTATCCTGCACCCAGGTAGTGAGCATAGTACCTAATAGATAGTTTTTCGACCCTTTCCCCTCTAGTAGTCCCAGGTCTATTGTTCCCATCTTTCTGTCCACATGGACATAATATATGCCCAGCTCTCACTTCTAAGCGAGAACATGCAGTATTTGATTTTCTGTTCCTGTGTTAATTCACTTAGGATAATGACCTCCAGCTGCATCCATGTTGCTGCAAATGACATGATTTTGTTTATTATGGCTGCATACTATTTTATGGCATATATGTACCACATATTCTTTACCTAGTCCATTATTGAAAGGCTTCTAGATTGATTCCATATCTTTCTTGTTGTAAATAGCTCTGCGATGAATATATGTGCACATGTGTCTCTATGGTAAAATGATTTATATTTCTTTGGGAGTATACCCAATTATGGAATTGCTGAGTTGAATGGTAATTCTGCTTTGAGTTCTTTGAGAAATTACCAAACTGCTTTCTCCAATGGCTGAACTAGTTCACATTCCCACCAGCAGTGTATAAGCATTCCCTTTTCTCTGCAACCACGCCTGCATCGGTTATTTTTTGACTTTTTAATAATAGCCATTATAACTGATGTGAGATGATATCTCATTGTGGTTGGTTTTATTTGCATTTCCGTAACAGTTAGTGATGCTGAACATTTTTTAATACGTCTGTTGGCTGCATGTATGTCTCCTTTTGTAAAGTGTCTGTGGCCGGGAGCGGTGGCTAACGCCTGTAATTCCAGCACTTTGGGAGGCCGAGGCGGGCAGATCACAAGGTCAGGAGATTGAGAACATCCCTGCCAATGTGGTGAAATCCCATCTCTACTAAAAATACAAAAATTAGCTGGGCGTGGTGGTGAGTGCCTGTAATCCCAGCTACTCGGGAGGCTGAGGCAGGAGAATGGCTTGAACCAGGGAGTTGGAGGTTGCCGTGAGCCAAGATCGTGCCATTGCACTCCAGCCTGGCCACAGAGAGAGACTGCGTTAAAGAAAATAAAAGAAAAGAGGAGAGGAGAGGAGGGGAGGGGAGAGGAGAGGAGAGGAGGCGGGGAGAGGAGAGGAGAGGATGGGAGGAGAGGAGCGGAGAGGAGGAAAAAGTCTATCCGTGTCCTTTACCCACTTTTTAATAGGGTTGTTTTTTGCTTGTTGAATTGTTTAAATTCCTTATAGATTCTGGATATTAGACTTTTGTTGGATGCACAGTTTGTGAATATTTTCTCCATTCTGTAGGTCGTCTGTTAAATCTGTTGATAGTTTCTTTTGCTGTGCAGAAGCTCTTTACTTTAATTAGGTCCCACTTGTCAATGTTTTGTTGTCATTGCTTTTGAGGACTTAGTCATGAATTTCCAAGGTTGATGTCCAGAATGGTGTTTCTTAGGATTTCTTCTAGGATTATTATAGTTTTAGATCTTACATTTAAGTCTTTAATCCATTGTGAGTTAATTTTTGTACATGATGAAAGGTAGTGGTCCAGTTTTATTCTCTTGCACATGGCTATCCAGTTATCCCACCACCGTTTATGGAAAATGGAGTCCCTTCCCCATTTCTTGTTTTTGTCAACTTTGTTGAAGATAAGATGGTTGTAGGTTTGTGGCTTCATTTATGGGTTTTCTATCCTGTTCCATTGGTCTATGTACCTATATTTGTATCAGACTGAAGCCTTTTAGTATAGTTTTAAGTTCAGTAATGTGATGCCTCTGGCTTTGTTCTTTTTGCTTAGGATGATTTTAGCTATTATTCAGGCTCATTTTTGTTTCCAGTGAATTTTAGAATAGTTTTTTCTATTTCAGTGAAAAGCGATGTTGGTAGTTTGATAGAAATAGCATTGAATCTGTATATTGCTTTGGGCGTGTGGTCATTTTAACAATATTGATTCTTTCAATCCATGAGCATGGCATGTTTCTCCATTTGTTTGTGTCATCTATGATTTCTTTCAGCAGTGTTTTGTAGTTGTCCTTGTAGAGATCTTTCACCTGCTTGGTTAGATGTATTCCTTGGTATTTTTTTTTTTCTGGCTATTGTAAATGGAATTGCATTCTTGATTTGTCTCTCAGCTTAAACATTATTGGTGTACAGAAATACTACTGATTTTTGTACATTGATTTTGTATTCTGAAACTTTACTGAAGTCATTTAAAAATTCTAGAAGCCTTTTGGCTGAGTCTTTAGATTTTTCTAGGTATAAAATAATATTATCAATGAAGAGAGATAATTTGACTTTTTCTTTTACGATTTGAATGCCTTTTATTTCTTTCTCTTGCCTGATTGCTCTGGCTAGGACTTCCAGTGCTATGCTGAATAGGGGTGGGGAGAGTTAGCATGCTTGTCTCCCTCCAGTTCTCTCGGGGAATGCTTCTAGCTTTTGCCCATTCAGTATGATATTGGCTGTGGGTTTATCATAGATGGCTCTCATTATTTTGAGGTATATTCCTTCAATGCCTGGTTTGTTGAGGGTTTTTATCATGAAGAGTCTTTTTTTTTTATTTTATTGAAAGCTTTTTCTGTGTCTGTTGAGATGATCATATGGTTTTTGTTTTTAATTCTGTTTATGTGGTGAATCACACTTGATGATTTGCGTATGTTGAACCAATCCCGCATCCCAGGAATAAAGCCCACTTGATCACGGTGAATTAACTTTTCGATGTCCTGCTGGATTTGGCTTGCTAGTATTTTTGTCAATAATTTTTGCATCTATGTTCATCAGGGATATTGGCTTGTAGCTTTCTTCTTGTGTTTTTTCCTGATTTTTGTATCAGAATGATGCTGGCTTCATACCGTGAGTTGAAAAGGAGTCCCTTCTCCTCAGTTTCTGGAAATAGTTTCAGTAGAATACATACCAGACCTTCCCTGTATAGCTGGTAGAATTCAGCTGTGAATCCATCTAGTATGAGGCTCTTTTTGGTTGGTAGGTTTTCTATTAATGATTCAACTTCAGAACTCAATATTGGTCTGTTCAGGGTTTTAATTTCTTTTTGATTCAGTCTTGAAAGGTTGAGTGTTTCCAGGAGTTTATCCATTTCCTTTAGATGTTCTAGTTTGCATGCATAGATGTGTTCATAATAAACTTTGAGGATCTTTATTTCTGTGGTATCAGTTGTAACTTCACTTTTGTCATTTGTGATTGCAGATATTTGTATATTCTCTGTTTTTTGTTAACCCAGCTAGCAGTCTATCAGTCTTGTTTATTCTTTCAAAGAACCAGATTTTGCTTTTGTTTATCCTTTGTATGAATTTTTGGGTCTCACTTTTATTCAATTTTGTGAATGCATCAGATCTTATCTCTTATCTATTTTCATTTCAATGGCTATATTTGTTATTGGTTGAATTTTTTGCTCCTAATATCCTCTTTTTTGGTTAATAGGCTCTATTTTCTTAATCTTATTAAAAATTAGAAACATACTTTTCCATTTTCTCTTTATTGTTGTTCCTTTAGCTCTGGTGTTTGCTTGTAAATTTTCCTATTAATTGAATCTATTACTTTTTGCCCAAACCAATGGTATTCTCATATGTTTCTAATTTTTTCTCATGAGCTTTTCTTGGTAGAAGATATCTTACTTGAGAATAGGATTCCAAAGCAAATCCTATACTTGTCCTTTCAAGTTTTGAATCCTGGAGAAAAAGTACATTTGTTTTAACACAAGTAACTTATTTTCCATTCTTGGCCTAGGCCATGTGACTTACTTTTACAGTGTGTTCAAATCTCAATGGGCAATGTTTCTTTATGCTACAGTATCAAAAGGGCTATAATTTATACAGTAAGCCTTGTTCCCACTTCTTCCTTCATACAGTGCCTGCAGCTTTGACATCCACACCAACATAGGCAGACATCCTTAAGTATGAACCTATAGTCCTCTTGGTGCCAATGTCTAATCTTCATGGATTTAAGTTTCTTCTTCATTTCTGGCACTAGAAATATCTTTTCATTAATTTGAATGTCTTCTATTAGTTTAAAATTGGGCATGTGGGATGAAGGCTTTCTTCCCAGATATACTTGGTCAGTTCTTAGTCTCTTTTCTTCCCCACATCCTTATATAAGTCATATACTATTTCCTTATAAATGCCTGGATCAACCTCTTAACTCTCTTTTCCTTTCTGCTTATGTATTGGTTGCCCTTACATTATTACCATAGTGTTTTAATTAATAAATTACATAATATCTTAATATTTAAAAGGGCAAGATTCACTCACCCTGCTTACTGAAAATTCCCTTGGCTATTCTTAAACCTTTAATTCTCTGTAGGAATTGTGGAAAAGTCAGTTTGTGGTAGATTTATTATAATTTATAATTTATTATTTATTATAATTATGGTAACCATTACCACAAAGGTATAGGAAATCATACCCAGATAAATATTTGTTGATGGCACTGTGACCAATCCCACTCATAAGACTGCTTCATTACTAAATTATAGCAGCAGGCTACTATGTGTGGTTTAACTGGGACTTTCAAAAGCAAACTGAAGTTCCACTTCTGTCTTCCTGTTCCTTAGAAACATAGCCAGAATGGTACTGAGACAAGTGAGTAGGTAGCCTATCCATCAATGGGAAGATGGACCTTTCAGAAATGAATACATTCTTCCTATGGAAAGGTTAGGACTTGAAAGTGCCAAGGCCTCAAAGAGCAACTCTGTGGAGGAATTATTGCCATATTCACTTATTAGGGAAAGACAAACACCAGGGTTATCTTCAGTTAATATTTATAAGCTTCTAAGTTAAAGCAGTAACTGAGATTTTTGAACTCAAGAACAGTTCTTATTAAGTGATTGGCCATTGATAAAAGAAGGCTGGACTGAGAGGTGTGTAAAGTTTATTCCTTTCACTGCATCATACCCTTTTATTTATTTATTTTTTCCTGTACCTGTTCAACACAAGCAGCGCAACATCTTCCAGGCTGTGACAATAAGAAAGGTGTCAGCATGCACTGGGGTCGCAAGTGGAGGCTTTGTTCAGCTCTCAGAGCCTGGCTAATGTCTCAGTTCTGGGAAAAGGAGGGATGTGCGGAGAATGTCAAGAAGGAGAATGAATCACCACGCAGATCTTCATCAATCTTACCCATGGATTTTTAGCACAAATAGGAGCAGGTAACTGTGGTAACTCTAACCATGTTACAAGGACAGTGTATTATCACAAAATTACTAATTTTTTGAGGCGACAGTACAATTTACACATCTCCAGTCCCATCTCTAATTGTCTGACACTTATTTGGTGCTGAAAAGAAGCACACAGCAGGAGAGGGTCTGAGAGGTGAGCCAAACAGGGACAACTTTCAGAAGCCACAGTGGGCTTGCAGGACTTCCCAAGGAAAGGTGGCAAAAGGGGAAAAAGCCTCGTTTCTGATGGGAAAAGAGATTTTTGAGACAGAAAGCACTGTTTGATAGAGGTAATATACAAATTGGGACCATATCTGCTTTTTCTTACTCATAGGGATGCTGTGAGGGAATTTGAGATCCTGGAGAAATGCTTTGTAAATCCAGAGTGTTGAGATGTAAGGGAGGCCGACGTATTTTGGGGGCTTCCATCAGGGATGGATGGTTAGCAGCTTCTCCATCTTATTGGATAATTCATTGATTCCATTCTTCCCCTTGCTTTTTTTTGATGTTTTATCTTTTAAGACCTCTAAGTGGCTGATCAAGCCTAGGCTTCCTGCTTTTGTCCTGTAAATATTTTGGCAGACAAGCAAAAAATGACGAGAGTGGTGACAGCCATCTTCTGCTGTCACAAAAGCAACTGAGAGCTTCCCAAGTTAATAGAATCTCACCCTAGATGGATTCAAGTCAGACTGAGCCATATGCAACAAAGAACACTGCCTCTTCTCAGCCCCCGCAAAACCCCAAAAGTAAAGGGAACAACAAACTTGGAAAATCCCACCTTAGAAGTTAAATGCAAACAGCAGCCACTTAATGTTGTAAAGCAGAAAAATATTCATAAACCTATGACGATGAATCACATGAATACTTGGTGGAATTAAAAGATAGCACCTAGTAATAAGGAACTTCAATTATCTTACTGGAATGTATACACACAAGAATGCACACACATCTGTGCGTAAAGAAAATTAACATGACAAAGCAACATTATTCTTGATCAACTGTCAAATACAGGATGCTCACATAAAAATATGCTCTGAAATTTCAGAGAAATTCTTTTCTGTTGATGAAGAAGCAAGCAAACAACACTCTGTGGAGGAGGCCTCAATGAAGAAGACCTTGAAATACCTATATATATATATATGTTGTCATTGTGTGTTTCTTATTATTTGTGTCTCCTAGAATATATATTGCTAATACATAGCAATATATATTCCAGGAGACACAATAAGAAACAAACAAACAAAAAAGAAGGCATTTAATGTCATGTCAAGGAATGGTAGGTTCCTTGAAGAAAAATTAAGCAGAGTGGGAGGGTAGAGAGTTACAGAGTCATTGTGATAAATAAGATGATCAAAGAAGTCCTGTGTAACATTTAGGAAGGAACCAGATTGATATGTAAACAAAGAGAGAGAATGGGGAGGGGAGGGGAGGGGAGATATAGACAGATCACTTGGAGATATCATTAGTGAGAGCTCTACAGTGAGACTGAACAATGCTTCTTAAGAAGACAGTAGAATCACATAAGTGGGAACAGAGGGTCTGTGAAAGAGAGAAGAGCAAAATTTTCAAGAGTCATTTAGTGAGATTGTGGAGCATCCTCCCACCAGGATACAAAGAAGAATCAAAAGAATTAAGAAAGATATTAGTCTTTTGTCAGATGCATAGTTTGCAGTCATTATATGAAAAAGACACTTGCACACACATTTATAGTAGCACAATTCACAATTGCATTGTGAAAACATGGAATCAGCCTAAATGTCCATCAACCAACGAGTGGATAAAGAAAATGTGCTATATATACCATGGACTACTACTCAGCCATAAAAAGGAACAAAAATAATGGCATTCACAGCAACCTGGAAGGCGTGGGAGACCATTATTTTAAGTGAAGTAACTCAGGAATGGAAAACCAAATATTGTATGTTCTCACTTATAAGTGGGAGCTAAGCTATGAGGTTGTAAAGGCCTAAGAATAATATAATGGACTTTGGGGATTCAGGGAGAAGGGTGGGAGGGGGTGCAGGATAAAAGACTACACATTGGGTACAGTGTACACTGTTTGGGTGATGGGTGCACCAAAATCTCAGAAATTACCACTAAAGAAATCATCCATGTAACCAAATGCCAACTGTTCCCCCCAAACTATTGAGATTTAACATAAAAATAAAAAAGAAAGAATTAAGGAGGAGAGATTTATTCATCATACACAACATCAAGCAGCCCCAACCACTGGCGGCAGCAAGTGAATGAAAGGAAGATGAGTCTCAGGCATATTAGAATTGATGCTTTACCCAGAGGTTGCTGGCCAATCATGTGTGATTTTAACTAAACGTTTGTAGTTTGTTGTAATATTTAGTGTTTCAATAGTTCTTATCAAATAAGCTTGTCGACAATATGCTTTACCTGGTGACAACTTTGTTGAATCATTTTTACTGCATCTCTATAAGAGAATAAAGACTCTGGAGGAGTCTGCAATGGGCATGACTTGCCATAACTCCAACAAGATTTTAATTCTTTTAGAATGAAACTGTCAAAGAAACTAATTGGAAAAATAGTTTACATCTACCTCCTATCAAATCATTAGTCATCAAGATAATTGAGGTTAAAAAGGCCGGCATGATGTGTAATCTAGGGAGATATATATGGGTTGCTGTGGCTCCCAAGCTCACTCTGCATTTTGCTATGCATATCACACTTTTATAGTGGCCATAAGCAAGGACTGAATAACTAATTAAGTGGCAAGTGAAAAATCAGAAATTATTCCATCTGCACCTGCTAAATTGCAATCATTAACTTGGCGTGCATTAAAAAATACAAGAAACTTAAAGAATAAACAAAAGAAAAGTATGATTTCAACAATAGAAAACAGCATCTAAATGTTAATTTATTAGAATTGTTTATCAAGAGAGTTATTAAATAATATTTATCAAAAATATACATAAATTTAGCTAGAAATCCTAAGAAAATGTTGAGCCTCCCCAAATAAAAGCTGAGAGTAAAAATGATATTAAATGTTGGGAACCACATTTTAAGCTACATATTCACTTTATCCATAGATTCATTCATTCAGTAAATAGTTACTGGGTGACTATCATATAGTAATTACTGTTTTAGGTATTGGACATACAGCAATGAACAAAAACAGTCTTCTCATGGAGCTTATATTCTAGGAGACAAAAATAATAAGAAACAAATAAAAATGTGGCATTTAATGTCATGTCAAGGAATGGTAATTTCCTTAAGGAAAAATTAAGCAGAGTAGGAGGATAGAGGCATTTTGTTAAATAAGGTGGTCTAAATAGCCCTGTATAACATCTAGGAAGACACCAGAACAAAGAGGGGAAGGTGGCCCTGAAAATACCTGGGGAAGCTTATCATAGGCAGAAGCATTAGCAAGTACAAGTGTCTTCATAGGATCATGCTTGCTCAATGGAAGAGATAAAAAGCCAATGAAGCTGGAGCAGAGTGAGGAGGTAGAGAGTGGTGGATGAGTTACCCAGAAGCCCAAATGTGGGTCATTGAATTCATGTTAGGACCTGGAATTTGAATGTATATATGGTGGGAAGTATTAGAAAAGTTGTATGTAGAAGACTTACTTGATTCTTTTCAGGTAGTTCATTCAAGCCTTTCTTTGAAAAGTAAACTGAAGAAGGCAAGTATGAAAGTAGAGAAATCAGAGATTACTGCCATAATTTAGGTAGGAGGTTGTGGAACCTTGAACTGTGGTGGTAGCTATGGATATGGTGAAAGCGCTAAGTTTGGGAATAGATGTTGAAGTGAAGACCAACAGAATGGATTGATGCTGAGGGACTGAGAAAAAGAAATAAAAACTGATACCAAAATTTTTGGTTCAAACAGGTCAAGCATCATATTTGGTTGGGAACCCTGAAGGGATAGATCAAAGTGGATGTGGAGGGAATTGGTTGCTTGCTATGAAAATGTTAAGTATCTTGGAGAAAATACTCCAAGTGTGCTCATTTCTGAATGTATTCCTCTTTTTTTGATTTTTGTGTCAGTCATTCCATTGCTTTTCATATATACCTGTAAGACATCCAAGTGGACAGACTGAGTAGGCACTTGATTATAAATCTGCAGGTGCCTAAAGATCTTGGGTAGATAGAAACATTTAAGAGACTTCAGCGTGAAGATGCTAATTTAAAACAATGCAATTGGTTGAGAAGACATCTAAAGTAAATATAGATAGAGAAGCAATTACGTGGCCAAACCCAGGCCATTTCAAAATTAACAGGTTGCAAAATTGAGGAGAAATCAGCCAAGGAGACTGCAAATATAGACCAGAAAATTAAAAGAATTGGTGAGAGGTGTCCCAGAGGCCAGGTGAAATGCTTCAAGAAGGATGATGTGATAAATTGCACCAACTACAACTGATATGTCAAATAAGAGAAGACTGAGAAATAATGACCCAGTCTTTAAATGGGAGTCACAGGTATAAGTGGAAAAAACGTCAGTAGAAAACTGAGTACAAAGTCTGGGTGCAGTGAGTTCAAGAGATAGTGAGAATGGAAAGTCCAGGAAGATTTGATGTGATAAAGAGAAGTGGGAAGATAACTGAAGGCAGGACTTGTTTTCTGATTTGTTCTGTGTGGAAACTGGACAATTTATTGCACTGCAATAAGTGCAAGTGTATCTCATCAATTGGATAAAAACCCAAACCAAATCGACTACTCTTCAACTACAGTAAAGAATATCAGAGGTATTCTTTTAAATTTATTTTATTATTAAATCTATCAAACAGAAAAGTGAGTATATATGTATTTATATATGCATTATATATGTGCCTAGACATATATTTATATGGGTGTATATGTATATATGTACATTACGTGAAAGAGAAAGAATGCATTCACATTTTAATGTAAAAATAAACACCATTGGCCGGACATGGTAGCTCATGCCTGTAATCCCAGTACTTTGGGAAGCTTAGGCGGGCAGATCACCTGAGGTCAGGAGTTCAAGACCATCCTGGCCAACATGGGAAACCCCGCCTCTACTAAAAATACAAAAATTAGCCAGGCATGGTGGCGGGCGCCTGTAATCCCAGCTACTCAGGAGGCTGAGGCAGGAGAATCACTTGAACCCGGGAGGCAGAGGTTGCAGTGAGCCAAGTTCGCTCCACTTCACTCTAACCTGGGCAAAAGAGTGAAACTCTGTCTCAAAATAAATAAATGAATAAAATCAAAAAATAAACACCATTTACCTTTCTTCCAACTTTAGGAATATAACCTCAGCAGCATCTAAGATATTCCAAGTGTGCTCATTTCTGAATGTATCCCTCTTCCTTTGATTTTTGTATCGATCATTCCGTTGTTTTTCAAAAATAGTTTTATCACGTTAACTATCCCCAAAACAATGTTATTATTTAGTTTGGTTTACTATAATTTTACTTAAATGAAAATGCATAAGTTGACTTATGATTTACTTTTTCAATGGACATGGTATTGTTGAGATTAATTTATTTTGATTCATATAGCTATAGCCCATTAAACTTCACTATATATAATATTTATTGTGGCATATGAATGTAGCAATATTTATATATCAATTTTATTACTAAAATTTTCAGTTGCTTCTAGTACTTTGCCCTGCAAAAAAAAATTATATATATATATGTTGCTATGTACTTTTTTTTACATAGCTTCTGATACACATGTACTACTTTCTCTTGGGTTTATACCTATAAATTAAATTGAAAGGCCACAGAATTCACCCATCTTCAACTGTTTGGTAACAACACACTGCTTTTCAAAACTGCTGTAATAGTTTACAGTCCTCCGGCAGTTTATGATGGTTTTCATCACTTCAAAACCTTGCCAGCACTTGGTACTTTCAGACTTTAATTTTATTCATTTTGTGGGTGTGAAATGGTAACACAAATATAAGTTAATTTGCATTTCTCCTGGTGTTAATGACATTAAGCATCTTTTCCTATTTTTATATCCCATTCAGGTTTTCTATTTTGTGGTGCCTGCTTTTTTTTCCCCCCTCATTTTTCTCTTGGGCTTTTTGTTTTGTGAGAATTCCTGTAACTGTAGTATCTAATCTCATTAGGAATTATTCTATCTCCTACAACTTCTAAGCGCAGTAACAGTGCAAGTCTGTGATAATCCTTCACAGGAAAAAAGAAAAAAAAAAGGGCACTGGAAGGTTTTGCTTTGCTGTTTCGTATTATTAATTGGGATAGTTTCAACTCCCACAAAGAGAAAAGCAAGGCATGAGCACTCACCCATGCTTATTGACTTCCTAGGCTCTAAGTGCAGTGGGTATTAACTGAGCGGATTGACTACAAGATTGCAGCCTTCTCTCGCCTTGCACTTCATCACTCCAAACGATGTCATTCCCAATGCAGGACTGACAGGCACTCATGTCCAGCCTCGGCTCTATATCCCTAATCCATTAGTATTGGCTCGAGGTCAGCTTTTTGAAGACAAGATCAATTCTAATACAGTTACATTGACTTCTTTGTCTATCAGGGAGTAGATAGAAAGTTGAGAGGGATCAATAAATTCCAAACAACAAATCAGAAAATACATAGCATATAGAAGCCAGTTAGCATGCATGGATTTCTCTGTGCTAGTCATTGATTAAAATATAGGTAGTCCAGAAATAATGAGTTTGGATCCATACCTGAAAGCCAAAATGGAAATCAACTGTTCAAGCTACGTCTTTAGCCGAATAGAAAATAGGAAATGACACAATCCTTGGCCTTGGGATCAAAATCTTACATTTTCTGGGTCAGTGTTACCATTTCAGACCCAGTTTGTGTCTTTTTATAAAGTGTTTTTCTCAGGCTAGTCTAATTTCCTTGTACAGGGGAGTATATGGTCCTTTGTACATATTTTCCAGACTTCACAAATTATTGCCCTCTACCTGTCAACTCCACCATCATCATAAATTTCCTTCCTATCTCTTTTCTGCCTATAAAAACCATCTTCAACCCAAGGCCCTGCCCAAATCTGCATCTTCTATGAAGTCTTTCTTCAACTTCATTGCTCTGAATAGACACTCAAGCTGTCAAAATCATGTAGCACTTCTTATCATTAGCACTAATTTGGAGCACGTCTGCCTTATTATTCCTGCCTTGCATGGTTAGTTTTCTATCTTTGTTTGTTACCCACCAAAATAAGGACATCTGAAAGTCTGGGACTGTGTCTGAGGTATTGATGTACATCTGACACACATAGAATATTGCCTGAATAAAACTACATGCCTAACTAAAACTCATTCATTCATATAGACATGAGTTACTCTCATACCTCTCAGTGACAACATGTTAATTAATGTTGACCAATCTCCTCCACTAAGATCCTGCTCTCCTTTTAACCTGAGGAGACAAGCCTGGCAATTTCTATATGTCTGTTCTGTTCTTCTTCCACCCATCCAGACTGTAGTTTTATCTTTTAAGGTGAGTATTCTCTATTAAACAAAGAGTAATCAAGCTAAAATAGCCTATGTAGTCCTGCTGAAATGTCTGACCTAACAAGCACCCTATTTCTTCCTAAAGTCTAGTGACACATCCTGGTATCTGAGTTTCTTAAATAAGAAACGCTAGTTTCTTATTTCTAAACCTCATTACAGATATCCTAAACCCTTCTAAAGGTAAGACAATCAAGTTCTTGTAGAATCTTGAGCTGTCTCTGAGTCTGACAACTTATGGAGATGATCATTATTGTAATAGTAAACAACTTCTGTAAAAAAAAAGCTTCATATAATGCTTACTATACACTAGGTACAATTCCTAGTGCTTTAAAAATATTAACTCATTGAATTTTCATTAAGAACTCCATTAGGCAGGTACTAGTACTGTGCTGAATATTCCCATCTCCCCCATTCTTCACCTGTTTCAGCGCCCCCTGGAGCCTGACCTCATCAACCAGTCTTCTTGGTTCTCTGACTCATCATTGAGTTCAGCCTGTAGGAGACACCAACAGTATATAGAGGAGAGAAAAGTCAATATTTTACTTCATTAGCTGCCTTTCTGCCAGCTGCACTTTGACAATACATACTTTTCTCTGCCAAAGTCCTCAATTCCATAGCTAGCCCACTCCTACAGTTACAACTCTCCTGAGATTCTATTCACTACCCTCTCCCCTTGCCTCTTTAGACCTAGGCAGGCTAAGATGTTTTTATTATCAAAGTACTTTACTGTTCGTTATTAGTTTTTCTTAAGCCTGCTCACGAGTTTGTGAATATTCCTTTTACTAAAATCTCTTACATTGCCCCTTTTTAGTATACTGTCTGACTGTCTGAACCCCAATCATTACAAGACAGGAAACTGAGGCACAACAATATTAAGTGCCTTGCTTAAGATTATACAACTAGTGAGTCACAGAGTAGCGTTCAGATCCTGGCTGTGTGGTTCCACAATATGTTCTCTTAACAGTACACTATGTTGTCTCTGACTCTGTGTGTCTCCAAATGTAGCCAAACAACTGTCTTTCAACTCTGAGATAGGCCTCCGATTTCTCCTTGCCAGCCGAAGTCAAGAGTAAAGTAACGGCTTCTTCCTTTGCCAGGAGAGAAAGATCATCAGATCTATTTTAGAAAGAAACGTGGGCAGAGTTAACCAAGAAAAAGGAAAGTTTCCCTTTGGGCAGTGGTTTTCTTAAAATCTTCTGGGTTCTACCGCTACCTGTTTTGCATTTAAACAGGAGAGATAGGAACAAATTTAAGAATAATTAAGCAGAGAACAGAATTAAAAACAAGAGACAAGTGAGTAATAGCTAGAGCTGAAAGTCAAAATCCCAACTGGACACGTCAAAGGCTCAACCAGTCCTTAGTTCAAACTAAAACCAATAGTGAGCTTGAATTTTAATCTAGAAAGGGACTTTGGAAAGGAAACTCCCATAAAATTACTCAAGGTGGCTGATGAGACATTTCATTGAAATCCTACAATAAATCCCTCAAATTCTACAGTTAAATTACAAGGAACCACTGCAAATCAGTTGCAATGATTCTTCCTGCAATTCACCGACAAGACAATATTGTTTTAATGCCACTATGTATTAAATGCCTACTCTAGGTGAAGAACTTTATCCACTTGCATATCATTGTTAAATTTCTCACAGCTTTGAAAAGTATTTAAAATTAGCCCCATTTATCAGGTAGGCAGTGGAGGATCTACTTCTTAAATTATTTTCTTAAAATCAAAATATGAGCACAGAACCAGGATTCAAAAATCAAGAATGACCTTAAATATTGTGTGATGGGTGTGTGTGTTAATTATTATTATACTCACAGATGTAGAAGAACACAATCATTCCAAATCTGATGCCTTGGGAAAGATGAAAACCACCGTGAATTCTACTTAAGCTTTTTCCCAGTTCTACAGTACACGTGTCATTTTGCCTGACTTTTGAGATTATGCAAATGCAATAAAATGAATTTTTTATAGTTGCCTGAAAACAACCACAAGCGAGGTAAGAATAAAGCATTATTCTTTGTACATAGTTGCAATCTTCACACCTGAAAGCTAAAATAATTAAACGTGTTAGCTCTGCCAAACTCTGCCAGTTGCAGGATATACTTCGCTTTTTGCAATGCACGATTCTCTGAAATCTTTTATAACCTGAGTCTATAGGGAAATCTTTTCCCTTCCCTGATGACTTCTAAGACCATTTAAGAGTAAGCAACCTCAATTTTTGATAGAACTCCTCTCATATTCTTTCCATCTTCTTTCTCTCATCCTTAGCAATGTGCTCAGCAGTAAATCAAGCAGTTTATTAAATGTCATTTAATAAAAAATTACGGTTAGGTAGACATAAGCCAAGAGTATCTACATTGATTGTTCAGTTTTGAGAGACTTCAGTAAACATAACCACAAGATCTGGTACACAGGCTTTTTCTTGCTGCATACAATTTTCTACCCAGAGGTAGAGAGATTGTAGACTTCTGCCGTTGTAGGCAGGGCTGCTAACTGTGTTTACAAAAATGGTTGAGAAAACCCATGTCTCTCTGACAGCTTTTTACCACATCAATTATAAATGCATTTTCCCTTGGGTGGTATTATCTCTCGCCCAAGGAATTTTCCACTGTCCTGGAGCATTTGCTGAGGAGAATTGATTAGGAAGGCGGCTTCCCAGTAGATGGAGAGAAACTGCAAATGCTTCTTTTTGTTGATGCTGTTGCCCTCGTAGCATAAGTACTGCAAGAATGTGAACAATTACAGCTGAAAATTCAAGCGGAAGCTGCTATGATAGAATTTGCAATTCACCCCTGCGGAGTGGAACAGACCCAGATATGTGAAGCTTGAATATATCTACCTGAGTAAAGTGATATTTGCTGGTGAGGGAATTATAGACATCAGTCATCTGTAGGGGCAGGAGAAAGGCATGTGTTTTGTTTGGGGTGGGATGGAATTATCTGGATTGGCCACACTGAACAATTTTTCTCTGATTATGTTTGTATAGACCCAGTTTTATTTTAAAAATTACGGTTATGTGGTATTTACTGTAAATTAATTATGAAGATGAGTTCATATAAAAGTAATTTAAACAACTATGAATACATTTTTAAACCTTTCTGTTTATATATGTGACTTTTAAAATTAGTAAATTTATTTACTGACTTCAATGATATAAA
Source organism: Homo sapiens (assembly GCF_000001405.40). Taxonomy (NCBI): domain Eukaryota; kingdom Metazoa; phylum Chordata; class Mammalia; order Primates; family Hominidae; genus Homo; species Homo sapiens. Next base: position 22,378,009 of record NC_000002.12, read on the forward strand.
GCTAAGTTGAATTTGATTCTAAAGTAAGGTAATTGCATCTCAATCTTCCTTGCCACTCAATATTGGATTAGGGTGGCAAAATTTTGTTTTATAAGACTTTCTCTGTGGCATGTGGCTCAGGATCAATACATAGTAAGTATTTAATTAATTAGCTTTAAAAATGCAGCTTAAGGTTATTGACTTTTTTGGAAAAATTAATAAATATGAAAGCAAAAGTCTTGAAATTGTTCAACTTTTAAACTAGTAATCCCATGACTATGAACTTCTCTTCAGGAAATACACCAAAACTGTTGCCCAACACGGTAGCCACAAGCCACATAGAGCACATGAAATGTGATTAGCCTACGTTGACATGTGCTATTAGTGTAAATACCTCATTTTAATGACAATATAAAAAATGTGAAATATATCATTAATGATTTTTACTTTGATCACAGTGGAAATAAAACATTTTGAATATATATTATATAAAATATGTCATAAGAATTAACTTTGCCTGTCTCTTTTCACTTTTTATTTTTTTTCTTTTGAGATGGAGTCTCACTCTGCCACTCAGGCTGGAGTGCAATGGTGCAATCTCGGCTCACTGCAACCTCTGCCTTCCAGGTTCAAGCGATTCTCCCACCTCAACCTCCCAAGTAGCTGGGATTGCAGGCACCCACCATCATGCCTGGCTAATTTTTGTATTTTTGTAGAGATGGGGTCTCACTACGTTGGCCAGGCTGGTCTTGAACTTCTGACCTCAGGTGATCTTCCCTCCTCAGCTTCCCAAAGTGCTGGGATCACAGATGTGAGGCACCGCACCTGGCCTCTTTTTACTTTTTTAATGTGGCTATGAACAGTAGGATATTAAAGGAAATTTATCATGAGGTATGTGGCTCATATTTGTGCCTTGCATTTTCTTTCTATTGAATAGGTGTTCTAAAAGAAAGGATATGCATATAGAGATGCCTGCTATTACATTGTCTATCATGCAGGCATTTTAGCATGCAACTAAAGTATTTATCAATGAGAGAATGGCTGTGAATATAATGATATTGATATATTGAATGGTATACAGACAATGGGAATCGTAATTTAATGACTGCAGCAATATGAAACCCTGTAGCATGCATATATAAATGAGAAAGTAGAAAGAGAACTTGTATGTAAAATAGGTATAGAACTTTTTAAAAATATGTATGTGAACAGAAAAAAACTGAAAGAAAATATAAATAATAATACTTCTTATAAAGTAAGGTTTGGGAAGAGTTGCTTTTCTTTTTTAAAAGCCCCATTATTGGTATTATACTATCGTTTTCACAAGTAAAACAAATGGAGTAAAAAGATAAAACTGGTATAGAAAGGCGTTTTAACCACAATCGAATCTTCTGGGTTAGGAGTTTTCAAGAATCCTGCAAGCCCGGGTAGCCAATCTTTCCTGCCAGGGAGCAATTGGTGCTTCTGGTATTGGAATGCAGTCTACATTTGGTTCACCTTTGGGCCTTATTGTGGAAATGCTAACCCTCCGTAGCACCACCAAAGTACAGTTTGAATGATATAGAAGAAATTGCACTTCCTTCACCCCCGCCAAACACAAATAAATTGCTCCATTTTAACCACTAAACCTATAAACACAAGTTCTCCTGCTAGCTCTCTCTACCAGTCATTTCTATTTCAATTGCAACCCCTACATTTAAGCCCAATTATCCCTTGTCTTATGTTTTTATGACTTGATAATAGCCTTCTCACTGAACTCCCTCCCTCTATTCTCCTATCCCTCCAGTCTCTCCTAGACATTACACAAGATCAGTTTCCCTAAAGTACTTCTCTTCCAAAGTTTTCCCTTTGCTATTAGGAAAAAAACATGAAAACATACATAACGAACACTTTCTTATCTTTAGAGTAAAAACCAGTTGCCTTTCTATGGGTTTTTATTCAATATCACCACTCCTGTACTCTCTTGCCATGACCGCACGTGGGTCCCAATCTCCAGCTAACTGGGTCTAACTACGCTGGTCTACTTTCTGGTCTTCATGAATTAACACTATTTTCATCCCTTAAGTCCTAGCCCAAGTTTCACCTTTTAATAAAATACTCCATCTGCTACATACCAGTTATTAATATTTGGACAGAGATATAAAAATGAGGCACTTAACTTTAACAAACACATTGTATCTTTATCACTAAAATCTATTCAGACCTCATGATTCAAACCTGGAGCTCAAACTTCATTCTGCCGTCTCCTTTGATAAATGCCCTTATGAAAGTACATTATTTTCTGTTGGTTTTCTTCCAAAGAAGCTTTCCATTTTATCTCTTCATCTCTACTTTTTCTCTCTTTTACACCTACCATCTTCGTTATGCCTGGATTCTGACAACTGCCTCCTAAAGGGTCTTACCTCCTCCGATCTTTTTGCATCAGCCAAACCACTCTCTGTGTAACCACTAAAGAATTATTCCTAAAACACAAGTTTGATTAGTCATTACCCTCATTGAAGGCCTTTATTTACTCAAAATCACCTTCAGGGTGATGTTTACAGTGGTTTACGAAGCTCTTCATTACCAGCCCTATCTATCTAGTGACATCTCTCAGCACTTGTTTTATAGTTTAGGCTCCAGCAACAACAATATTCTTGCTTGTTGCTAAATACAGAGCGTGGTTTTTAGGTTTTGCGTCTTTGCTCCTGATCTTCTCTTTGTCTTTGACCTTCCCCTCTCCCACTCCATATAAACAAACTGCACAGGACTTATTCCTCCTTATCATTTGAAATTAAAATGAGCATGGTTTTCCCTTGGTAATGATTAGAAAATTAGTTCTGATTGATACTGACAGCCGGTTTCACTGCATTTCCTTTATTCTCTAAACCTACTGCTATTTATTCATTTCCACAACATTTCAAAAATATTTGTGTTTATCCCCCGACAACGAAAACCTTGAGAGGAGAGAATACATTGTATCCACTTCTCTCTCATCAGTTTCTAGTATCTGATTTGGGCACTCAATACCAGTTTGCAGAATGAGCTAGCAAAGAAGGCCAGCCTGGCTCATTGCACATAATAGGGTTATAATGACACGAGTGCAAGAGAGGTTTTATTTGTATGTTTCCAGTGACGAAACTGATATTTGTCTATGTAATTGCAGGACTCTTTTCTCTTCTAGCCGAAATATTAGCACTAAGATAGACAATCATTTTGGCTTCTCTGGCACGTTAGGTTCCATATAACAAAAGATCTTGACATAGACTACCGAGAGAGACACAGAGGGAAGGGGTGGGCAGGCAGAAATCACCTTGCATCTGTTTGGCAACTTTCAAGTTTATAAGCTCAGTCAGTTGTAGCTTGCAAAGGTGAATTCAGGTCCAGATAAATGTTAGTATTAGATATTTGAGTTTTGAAAGAAAAACATTTTCCACTGGGTTTCTCCTTTTAAATACCATGACCAGAAGTGTCTCTGGCCCACAGGGAAATCAAAGAAATGTGTTTGCCTTTACTTCTCCTTGTTATATGTGCTATCTATTCCAGGATTGTGACATCGTACTGCTTTTGTTTGGTGAGTATGGATTTCCTAAGGGGCCCTGGTATCTTTTGAAATACTAGAGAAATAAATTGTCATCTTATATAATTAACTGAGTAAGAACTTATGTTACATTTACAAAATGCATTCTGAAAGGACTTTTTAAAAATCTAGCCACATTTACATATATTTTCCTCTTCGTATACAATTTATTGTAATAGTAACTAGAAATAAATGTTTCCATAAAGTAAGTAATGCATTAAAACCTGGTTCTAAGTGACACAGAGGTATTTCAAAAGAAAACAAACTATGTCTTGTCAACTAAAAATATATTTAGACTATAATTCTGAAAGCTACATGTAATCGTAAAATGGCAGGTTTTGATAGTTTGATAATTTCCTTTGTAATTCTGTACTAAGGAATAGGCCACTCTTGAGTTTTACCAAATAAAAACTGAAGTGAAAAATGTATTGAAATATTGATAAGGTACAACATTAATTTTTTAAAAGAAATATTTTCTGAAGACCGTGACCGTCTATTTTACAAGTGAGTTTATTAGAGTCATACTGTTTCATGTGTTGCCCTCAATAAGCTTGATCATTGACCAGCTAACAAATATCTTTTAAATATCTATTGTTATCAAGCTAATGTGCTAGGATATAAGAACTCTCAGGAGTACACAAAAATTCAAAAAACCTTTTAGGATGATTGAGACAAGACTCCAGTGAAAATACTCAGTAAAATCACAAAGACTACTTGAGAGATTTACTTTAAGGCCACGTCACATCTAGATATCAATGAATCGCATGAATAAAACAATTAATAAAACACAACAGTTTCCCCATTCACCAAAAATCTATCATAAATTTAAATTACCATTTAAAATCACATGTTGGCATTTCTCTAAAATGTTTAAAAATGGAGGCAGTACAGTGAAGGGAGGAAACAAAATAAAACCATTTAAATATTTTAAAGTCTGTCGTTGCCAAGCCCAGCGTGTGTTGGAGGTGGGGAGTCATATGCTATGGGCAGAGCGGGATCAGGTGTAGGAGAGATCCTCTCCACAGCCCCTGCTCTTACAGATGGCCCATTCCAGACTGAGGAGCAAAGGCTGCCCTTCTGGCCAGTAGCCACCCCCTGTTCTAATGCCGTTAGATGGCACTAACTCAGGCTTTGCATAGCAGCTGATGGCCAAATAATCCAAGTGTAATTAAAAGTCATGTTCAGAAAACAAAGAGAAATCCCCACAGAGCGGTTTCCAGGAGGAAAGCTATCAGGCATCCACATGGAAGGCCAAATACAAAGGATATACGAGCCAAAAATGAGTTGAGAAAGAAAAGGGACCTGGCTAAAGATGGAAACACTAAGGAGAGAAGCTGGAAACTCACAGGCTACAAAAGCAATGACTGCTCAGAGCTGATTAGCTCACCTGAAGCGACAGGAAAGGAAAATAAGAAAAATCCCTGCCTTGGACCCGAAACAAGAGAAATGCCCTAAGCTCATTAGCATCAGGAAGCCAAAAGGCTTTGTTCCCACACAAAATCAGCAGAGAGAATTACAGAATAATGACCGTCTTTGGTAAACAGATTGAATGCGTGGACCTAGCTCTGGTGCTCCGGGTCCACCATGTCTTCTGTGGACAAAAGGAGGATTTGTATTGAAGTCTCTGACGTCAACTAACAAGCTTGGCTGGATTTTCCCTAGGAGGGCATGAGGAACTTATTGAAGCAATGAAAAATTAGAAAGTGGTAAAAGAATTTTGATAGAAAAACCCGTTAGAAAAAAAAATACCCTTCCTTCATCAAGGCAAGTTTCTGTGATTTGGGTGAGAAAATAAACATGTCAAATGTGTACTCCAGGAAAATCATATTACCTGAGTCTCCTTATTGGGCAGGTTTATAACTAAATACAGAAGGATGCCTCTTCCAGACAACATTTTTTCTGGATTATCTCAATTTTACAGAAGACGTGATTTCTTAATGAAATATTTATGCTCTAGGTAGGGAGGTAAATTTGCCTCTGTATTAATAGAATCATTATCTAAAATTCCTACCCAACTATCTGATTTCTGCCTGTTGAAGAGGAATAGGGCATTATTTGGCTAATCTGTCATACAGAGTCGAAGCTGACACAGAACTTGGATGGTTTTGTGCAGAGTGCAGGATGGTGAATTTTGGTTTTTAAAACTGCTGATTTTAAATATCTAAAGGGTACTTAGTAACTATGCACATAAAGTTATTATTTTTCATCTAATACTGTTACAGACCAAAAAAGCTGTATAAGTTGGCATCATATTTGGAGGATGTGTTTAGGGTGGTCTGGCCTAAAATATAAACTGTGTGGCATTCATGATGTTCAAGTGTTTTGGAGGCCCTAAAAAAAATGCCACTTATCTCTAGAGCAGCTGAAAGTAAGACCCAATGAGAGGCTGCTGTGACTTTCAACCAAGAGGAAGGAATCATTATAATGGCTACAGCAGTGAAGCAGGGCAGGAAGCAAAATATAAAAATATAGAAAACTATGATCTTTCTTCAACAAGTTACGTTTCCACTCTGGAAGGAAAGACTCTATATAATCTCAAATATTTGAGAAAGCACTTCCATTGACTATAGGCAAGAGTAGAGAAGTCTTTTATTTTTTCTGGAACTACTCTGAATCATACATAATAAAATTCTGTGTATAGAAAACACAAACAATGTAAATTCTAGGCTGGAAATTACAAACACAGATATTTTAAATCACAGGCAATGATATATTGTCTAGCTATTTTTCATATGGGCAACTATAGCATGAATAGCTGTTTGTTCATTGGGGTTTTAAATGATAATTAAATAGTCTGAAGAAGTCTTATAGACAGCAGATACTTTAGAGTAATGATATTAGTTTTGTTGATACATATATATATATATATATATATATATATATATATTTTTTTTTTTTTTTTTTTTTTTTTTTTGAGACGGAGTCTCGCTCTGTCACCCGGGCTAGAGTGCAGTGGCACAATCTTGGCTCACTGCAGCCTCCAACTCCCGAGTTCAAGAGATTCCTCTGCCTCAGCTTCCTGAGTAGCTGGGACTACAGGCATACGCCACTATGCCCAGCTAATTTTTATATTTTCAGTAGAGATGGGGTTTCACCATGTTGGTTGGCCAGGATGGTCTCGAACTCTTGACCTCGTAATCTGCCTGCCTCGGCCTCCCAAAGTGCTGGAATTATAGGCATGAGCCACAGCGCCCGGCCTGAAAAATATTTTATATTGAATATAATCACAGGATTTTCTGGTACAGGTAGCTAGGTCCTGGTTTTGGTCTGACGTATGCTTATAGATTTTCCATGGGAGGTATAGCAGATAAGAACAATGATTATAAAGTGAAATAAATCTAGAACGAAATCCTGCTTCAGGCTGCACATTACTTAATTTTTCAGAACTGCATTTTCTTCATTTATGAAATTCACAATAATAATAGTGCCTACATTAAGAATCATTGTTAAGTATTAAATGAGATAATGTGTGTTCAATGCTTAGCACAGCATCTGGCAATGGATAATCATTTAAAAGTCACACAATAAAATAAACAAAATAGACTCAATAAATCATGGATGATTTTCTATTTAGTGAACTGCTTTGGAGATTAACAATGACTGACATTGAGTAAGAGGTTTCTTGGACAAGGAAGACTGTTGAATATAAAATCGTATTACTCCATGGAGAAGTAATATTGCAACAGCTACTATTATTATGAGGATACCCAAGAACACAAATGAGCAGAATTATTTTATCTGCAGCCCTCTACCATGTGACCTTCCCTGTTCTTTCTGTTGTTTTACCAAGTTGCTCTAGTGTGCCTCTTCCATGACCTTGACAAGGCCCACTACCACCTCTAAGTAAATTTTAGACAATTTATTTAAATCTCACAGCCAAAAGGAACCAAACAAAATAGCATGAAAATCCTCTTCTACAGTGAGGTGATATGATGAAGTTTAAAATTGAGGGAAATGAGAGGAGACAGAGGTAGGGAGAGGTAGGCTCTCACAAGTACTGAAGGACTTTATCTCTGAGTCAAGCAAGAAGGGGCATTTCCTGACCCCCCCTGGCAGCCTGCTGGATACCATGTGACACTGTAGTTTTCCCATCCAAGTGGATTCTTCTAAATTAAGCTGAGATATCCTAGATGGCCACCTATTTTCAGAAAATGCAATAATTTATGTGTAGAACATGATTTTGGTGCTTTAGTGAAGAAAATTTATTGTTATTCATTATTTTCTAGAGCCACATAGTTTTATTTACACAAATCTTGGGTTATTGCCACACAAACCATTCTCTTTATGGGCCTCAGACCTTAAATCATCACCATTTAAGATAACTTTCAAGAAATTAGAGTCGAATGTGAATATTATTACTGTACAGATATTTGGCTTAATAGGAAAATTCTGAAAACATTTTAATGAGTTTCAAGTACATTTGCCTTTTTTTTTCTCTCTCTCTCTCTGAGAAAAAAAAAAAATCCATCTCTTAAGGCCTACTTGACCCTGTGAGTAAAGCAAAAATTTCAGTATGCAACCTGGAAATCATTGTAATGGCCACAGCAGTGAAGTAGGGAAGGAAGCAAAATATAAAAATATAAAACAAAACTATGATCTTTCTTAGAGAAGTTATGTTTCCACTCTGGAAGGAGAGGCTATAAGATTTCAAATATTTGAGGAAGAACTTCTGTTGGCTATAGGTAAGGGTAGAGAAGTCTTTTTTTTTTTTCTTTAATCACTCTGCGATCAGAAGTCAGCTATGTTTAAAAACAACTTTCAGAGGTTACATTCTGTTAAATAATTTCAAAGTTTAGATAGATTTACAGAGGTAATAAATCCAGGTAATACATTGTAATGATGTATCCAGGTAATACAGAGGTAATAAATATAGGTAACATCAATAGTATAGACCTTGCCAAAGTTACCTAGTTGGCTTGAGGACAAAGAAAGAAAATGCTGGCACATGAATTCAACCTGAAGGATTTTAAGGAATTTTCTTATTCCTTGAAGAAAGCCTACTTCTATCTGCAGTGTGAGCCATGAGAACTCTGATACTCTTTGCTTATCCTCATCTTTGTGAGTCAGAGCTTTCAGTATTTGTTGGTATCAAAACAAAAAGTCAGAATCAGCCGGATGTCAAAGTTGACATCTCATTGAAATTTACTTCTGAACCACAGAATGGGTTATATTCTGTTTATTTTGTACAGCTTGGGTTTATTCACCCTATTTGAGGAAGAAGGCATTTATTTTTGCATGAAAAATGAGAAGTATAATATTTGTGAAAATTATTATGGCCAATATATGTGAAGGAAATATATTCCCAATGCAAAAATAAGTTGTGTGAAAAAAATTGCTAGCATATGATTATGTGCATTTTTCTGTAAAGGAAATTTATAGATTTTTATCAAATTCTCAAAAAGTCCTGAGAGTAAAAATGTGTTGAACAGATTACCTGTTGGGAAACTATTCTGAATAGTTTAAAAATATATTGAATAGGCCAGGTGCAGTGGCTCACGCCTGTAATCCCAGCACTTTGGGAGGCTGAGGCAGGCGGATCATGAGGTCAAGAGATCTAGACCATCCTGGTCAATGTGGTGAAACCCCAGCTCTACCAAAAATACAAAAAAGAAAAAAATAGCTGGGTGTGGTGGCACATGCCTGTTGTCCCAGCTACTTGGGATGCTGAGAAATCACTTAAATCCAGGAGGTGGAGGTTGCAGTGAGCCGAGATTGCACCACTGCACTTCAGCCTGGCAACAGAGTGAGACTCTGTCTCAAAAAAAAAAACAAAAAAACTATATATATATACAAACACACACACATATATACACACATATATATAAACATACATATATACACATACATATATATACATACATACATATATATATACACATACATATATGTATGTATATAAGTGAGAAAATAAATACAGGAAGTTTAGATTTTGAAGAATATTAGATTTGCAATTAGTGTTTTTGAATGCTCTTATTAATAGAAAGGAAGAGAGGTGTGAGATTATCTTTTCTGAAATTGCTTAGGAAATGTCAAGGGTTAGGGCACTATGTATCCAATATCTCAAATAAATGAAACCAATCAACTTTCTATGAAGAAAAATATTTTTTCCAAGCTACATTTGAATTTGAAAGTACATCCTTCATTAATCAGACAAAGAATCACCTAGAAATTCTTAAGATGCAGATTCTGATTTTGCAGGTGTGAGTGGGGCCTGAGATTCTGCATGTTTAACAAGCTCACAGGTGAAGTCCCTGTTGCTGCTAGGTCCTGTATTGAGTAGCAAGGCCTATGGCTAACAGTAAATGTTGTGGTGGGCAAAGAATATGTTGCACCGTGTTTTTCTCATGGTGCAATGTATTCTTTGTCTTGCTGATTTATCTTGTCTTGGTGCTTGGTTGACTTTATTGCCTAATGCCTACAGCAAGCATCAGTAATTTATATCTACATTAATGCAATGAATGGCCTACTAACTGTTCTCCCTGCACCATTATTGTGCCTTTTCCAAAAATAAATTACTATTACTATTATTGTTATTGTTTTTATTCATGCTGTGTGCCAGGTACTCTTTTAAACACCTTGTAAGTATTGACTCATTAATTCCTTCTACTGTCACATTAATCAACTTCCAAAATATTATTCATATCCTATTACTCTTATCCTCTGAACTTGTCAGTAGTTGCTATAGTTATTTTAGACCTGGTGCAGATTTTTCCCTTGGACTTTCCCAGTCATCTCCATTATTCTAGACTCAGCTTCCTAAGTGAGACAAATTTCAAGTGACATAAATTTGCAAGTACTCATTGCCGGCCTCACCAATTCAAACTGACTTCTTTAGAATTTGAGACCTTCTATTATATTATTTGTCAATGACTCAATCTCATTTAACATAATTTCCCAAATTTAACCTATGCTTAATACAGATAAATCACCTTAGAAGTGCATGAGTGTGTCAGCAGTATTTTAACCTCCATACTTTTCCTGAAGCTATGAACTCAAGCTGCTTTACTCCACCCTCTCCATTAAACACATTCTATCCATTCTCTAAGTCCTCACTTAAGTTACACTGGTGTTGTGCCACTCTTTTCTGAAAGATCTTGTTTCCTTCTGAACTGGTGAAGTATGTCCAACCCAAGTCAAGGATTTTCTTGACTTGCCTTCGCAACTAGTTCATGAGAAAAATACCTGCCTTAAACCACTTGAACACAGACCCCTAAGCCCTACAGATATTCGAATTCTGATACCCCCATTGCAGGTATTGCTGGGACTCAATCAAGATGGTGTTCCCTACCATGTGACTCAGCAATTCCTCTTCTGTTCTGAGCATATACCCAAAGGAAATTAAATCACCACCTTGTAAAGACATATGCCCTCCCATGTTTATTGCAGGATTATTCACAATAGGCAAGATGTGGAAACTTCCTCAATGCCTATCTACATGTATAAACTGTTTTACCGATATAGATAGATAGATAGATGATAGATAGATAGATAGATAGATAGCAACAGAATATTATACAGTCCTAAAAAATATAAGATCTTGCCATTTGCCATATCATGGATGAGCCTGGAGGATATTATGCTTAGTGGAGTAAACCAGACACAGAAAGAAAATTGCATGATTTCACTTAAATGTGAAATCTGAAAAAAATTCAGATATACAGAGATAGAAAACTATGGTTACAGGATAGGGTGGGGGTTGGGCAGGAAATGAGGAGATACAGGTCAGAGGATACAAAGCAGCAGATTCTGTAAGATGAACAAGTCTAGAGACCTAATACATATCAGGAGGGCTATGGGTTATAAAATTTTACTACAGATGGGGTCCATACTAAATGAGTAGATTTTAGATGCTCTAGTCACAGAAACAAACAAAAAAATGGGTAACTGTGAGATGATGAATATGTTAAATTGCTTCATTATAATAACCTTTTTACTATCTGCATGTATTCCATAACATCATGTTGTATTCCTAAATATATACAATAAAATTTATTCTTTTAAAAAGACACCAAGTCTTAAATCATAACACATTATTACTAAGGCTGAGCAAATTAGCCAATTGACCCTTCTAAAAATAAATTACTTATTAAGGTCTAAAAAAAGATGGTGTTTTCCCTTAATGCAGTAAATCTTAATACATTGAGTTTTTCTTGATTAGCAGCTTTCTAGGGATAATTTAGGGGGCTCAACATCTGAACATATGGACAGGGCTTTCTTACGCTCTGTTCATGTACTGAACACTGGTAGATACAGAGAGATGTACTTCATAGAGGAAGGAAGGCAGGAAGGCAAGACTTCCATGTGAAGATGAAAAAAAAAACCAAAGAAAAAAAGAAAGAAAGCAATAGTCCTGGGTGTCATTTGTTAGACAAATTTCATGGTGTGAGCCATCATTGTGTAACAGCATGTGCTATTAAGAGCTAAGGTTTAGGAAGAATCTAGTTGTGACTTGGAACTTCTCTTTTAATTATACACACAATTATTAGCCACCTTCTGGGACATACATTTTCAAATTGATAAGTCTTTTTCCTGGAATTTTAAGGTAATTATTCTTAAATTGTAGCATAACTCTCTAAGGAAACTAGGATCCACAGGAAGATCTCCCAGAGGTGCAATGAAGAAACACCTCTGGATTGGGTTCTGTCCCGTGGGAGTGGCTAAGGGGTTTGCAGTGTTGACGTGATGGGTCATCTACTGATACCTAGAATTCTGTAGAGTGAATTCATGTCTAGTTAGTGTCCGTATCACTGATTATTCCCAATTACATCCTTGTGAATCACTGGTGATAACCACGTGGATTATCCTTATATTATGACCTGAAAATTAAAGAGAGAATAAGGCTTATAATTAAGGAAACTAGCAGACTCAGAAAATGATACATATGGGAAACCAACAATTCTACACTCAAACTTTGAATGGAAAAAGTTCTTAATGATGCTATTAGGAAAACCTTAGATTTATCACTAGAGAACAAATTATAAAGCATCTTGCATTACTGTATTATGAGGGAAAAAAAAGCCTATTTAGGCAATAGGCTAAGTCCCATCCACAAAACCAGTAAGCAGGAGGGTAACAGCCTTTCTGCACTTGGCCTTTGTCATACGGCATAGCAGGAGACACTGCAGTATGTGCTGGGTGGAAATCTCCATCCACTGTGGGTGAGTACTATGCCTTGGAGAGTATACTATTCTATGAAAACATGACAAAGGACCCTTATCTAGAGGCAAGATACCTGGATTGTGTTCTCTCCTTTGTTTTCTATGATATCTTTCTGCTGCCCTTATTACAACATTCATTGTTATGTAATAACAACAACTCTTATGTAGTTGCTTATTTATTCCAACTCGATTCTGAGTTACCTAAGGTAGAGACCTTCTTTTTACATTGCTACATTCAAATACTTCACAAAGTGTCTGGTATTTATAGATTCTCAGTCATATTTATTACACAAATAAACATAATCCTAACTCAACATTGGCTTTTCCTTGGCTTACTTCACAGCCTTAGGATTTCCAAAGATACTTCATGAAATATCTGGAAGATTTTATAGCCACTTTTTTCCTAATTACTAATAATACAACTCTTGCTTAGGCCTGGAAATTTCCATTGCAGGGGCTTATTCAAAACATCTCATTTCCCTATAGTGCACAAAATATGGAACTATATAATGCCATCACAATATTTCGGGAAAACAATAAAAATTGTTCTTCTAATAGTTGGTCATAAATTAAATAATAAATCAATATATAATGAATAAGATAGAGATATGCAAATATACCTTTAAAAAAAACTTCCAATTAAATTCTCTTATAAGGGTAACTAAATACATTGACATAGCTAAGAAAGACAACATTTGCTAGAAGGAGTATTGGTCCCCAAAGTGTGCTTCATGTTAATGTGACCCAGAATTATTTTCTGAAGTTCTATGACTTACTTGGATAGTTCTGTGATTGTCAACTGGCTTCCAGTGCAGGACTTTCTACTGAAAGAAGCTGACAATTTCCACAGAAGTTCTGACTTCTCTCTGACCATGCTACTTCTCAGTACATCACTGGGCTCCTTGTTTAGATATACGTCCTCAATAGCTTCTTATTGTGATGTCTCTGAAACACTGAACTGTTTTCAGTGGTGAAATCAGGGTTCTTAGCCTACAAATATGAAGCCCATGTAGGTCACTCTCCACTCCGAATTCTTTTACATCATCACTTTCCTCTTCAATATCACCATTTTCCTCAAATGCTTTAACCTTTACCCTGTTACCTTCCAGTTTACAGAAAAAAATAGAACTGCTTTATCTCCTCTATTTCAAACTCATCAATTCAATTTATCTATATTTTTATACCCATTTTTTCATCCTTCCCTATGGTATCTATCTATCTATCTATGCATGCATGTGTGTGTGTGTGTATGTATCCATCACTCTCATATATATGTGTGTATATATATATATAAAATCTTTGTATGAGTATAAACATGTGTATCTATGCATCATGTATGTCTCCGTGTATGTATGCCTGTGTGTATCAATTATCCTTCTACTCCTTTAAGAGTAAATGCTTTCACTGTGCTTTTAATTCCATTCTATCCCTTTTAACTGGCTCCTTTGTGTTACCAAATTTCCATTCAACAAATTTTAATAAAATGCTTACTATATTACAGGTAATATTCAGCGTCACAGATTTCCTCTTATTCGCATTACAACCTTTCAAGGTCAGCATTCCTATCTCAAATTTTCAGAGAAGGAAATAGTCACAGCAAGATTAAGAACAAGACAGATGGTAAGTGGCACAGCTGAGATTTGAAACCAGGCCTTTCTAACTCCATAACACATTTTTCTTGTTTGTTTATCTCTTGTATGGCTTTTTTCCTCCATTAGAATATCAGCTCTATGATAAATGGGCTATAGTCTATATTGTGAATGACTGTATTCTCAAATCTTAGAATAGCGACTGGCACATAATATGTTTTCCATTAAGCATAGCTGAATAAATTTATGGATGAATAAGTGAATTCCCCTTCTACTCTCAAGGATACAGAGGCTGAGGATCTCTTCCTTTGATCCTTTTGTCCTCTATAACCTGAGGTTCCCACTCTACCCATTACCTTGTAAATGACATGATTCTTCCTTTTTCTTTGGAGTTAACTTGGCCAAAATATGGCTGTTTTTCATTGATAGTTTTCCTCTTATCTCCAATAATTTCTTATCTTGAAAAATTCTGGTCATTTCTGACATATCCTGGTGCAGAAGGCTGAAGGCGGACAATTTGGTGCCATTTTCAGCCTCTCCCTGACTTTGTTGTTTCAATCACCCCCAGGCCAATTCTAATGTATCTTTTGCCTCATGGGCACATATTACCCCGGTTTTCAGTATTTAGTAGCTTGGTGTATCTTAAATCAAAGTTCTTTAACTAACAGAATCTCTGTGTTCAACTAACTTCCTCACCATATTTTCTTCTAAGCAAATAGGTTATATTTTTGAGGATAGAAATATCCAGTAGGCATGCTTTCTTCTTATGCCTTCTTCCTCTACCGCCAAGAGCTATGGAGCTGTTTCCACAGGACTATTTTCCACCTCTTCCTTACCTCCTCCCTGATTCTAGATCTCATAACACTAATCAATAGATTATTAGATATGTTTTTAGGGAAATTTCTAAGCTGCCGGAAGTCTGCAATCCCATCTTTCCTTTTATTATGCTGCTTTTTGGGGTCAGATTCATGGATTAGCATATTGTTTTAAATGCTTGATCTGTAGCAATTTGCACCATGGAATTTGGTACCACCGTCCCAATCGTCTTATTCATGACTTTTTGCATTGTATCTAGTAGCTAATATAAATTGTAAGAAATGTTTGTTGTTGTTGCTGCTGCCATTTTTAAAATACAGAATCCCAGGCCCTACTCTTGGAGAGCCTGACCACAGGCCTGAAGTTGCATCTAAAAAGGCACATTTTTAAATGTTCTCTAAGTGATTCTGATGGATGTCTTTTCTCAGCAACACCTTGCTACTGAGATAAATGTTCTTCATAGAGATGAGCAAAAAGGAGAAGGGGTTTTTTACTGCTATCTTAGTTAGAAAGTAAATTCTTACAGGGGCAGAGACTTGGCTTTATTTGTCTTCCTTTCCAACACATTGCTTGTGAAATAATAGTTAAACATCTCATCAAAGCTTTCATGAATTTACTGAGGCCCAGGTTTCTGTATAAATAAAGAGAAAGGCTGGAAGGTAACAAGTTAAGTCAGTTTTCACCTAAACATAAATGAGGTAGAGGAAGAGAATGCAGGATCTGTCCTTGGAGATTTGAAGGACTTAAATGTTTAGCACTAACATATTGAACCTAATTCTTAGCTTCAGAGGTAGTGAGGGCAATCACCCAAGAGATCAATGCTTGCTCTCCCCTGAGGATGAATACACTCCTGCCTTTCCTATTCCATACCCCAAACCTTATTTCTGACCAACTGCCCAAGACAGAGAATAGTTGTTATTTTGTTCTTCTCCTTTTGCCGTGAAAAATTCATTTAGGACATAACATCATAATTCTCCACTCCCACTCATTTTTCTTCCATTGTGAAAATCAATAACCTATGGGGCTGGATTTTATGAAAGCTGCAGCAGTTAGAAGAAAATAAAGAAATGAATCTTTTGATTCATTATATTTCCCACACCCACCTTCTTACTGCCTTTGTGCCAGACAGAAGATACTCAGGAAACATTAGGTATGGATGCCATATGTCTGGGCAGTGTGCATGACAGAACAGACAAAAAGCAGATCCACCAAAGGAAAGAGAGAAACAGAGATACAGAGACAGAAAGAGCCAGCCATGGACTCAGATGCCTGAGTTCTGATTACAATGCTTGTTCCATGAGTAGATGCCAACCATTAAATATATGTTGACTAAGTGGCTGCTAACTAACTTAATAAATGAATTAATGAATTAATATAGAAATAGATATTTGGCAGTAAATGATAGAATTCCAGCTTCAAATATACTAGAACCACACCAGAAATCTCTAACTTTTATGTTAATGGTCTAGAGAGAAATTTTACTTCTCTTATCATAGGGTGCTGTGATCAAAACAGTTTTGAAGTTTCCTTAACCTGGCAGAGGTGTGTAGGATGTATTGGACTATGTTATAATAACAACAAGCAGTCCCATTTGGAGAATAGTATTGTGCTCTAGGCATGTGATGAAGACGGGCCCTAGTTTAAGGATTATAATGATGAGAAAGGGGCAGTAAGAGGCAGTATATTAGAAAACAAAATGAGAGGGTTTAGAAAAAGATTAGAATCTGAGATGAAAGACAATGAAGAATCTTGTAGGAAGACGCTTTCCTACAATTCAAGAAGTTATTATCCCTTCTAGGATAAAATTTCCATATGGTTAATTACTACCTTCTCTGGATTTTTAGTATAATTTGTACATGTTTTGTGTAGAGTTTTCATTGTAGGTTTAATTTCTATTTATTTGCTTTTATCTTTCTTTATACTGAATTGCCGGCTTTGGGGGGAATGTTATCTAGTCACAAACAAACAAGAACCAGTGCACTGGTTCCAGGTAGGGGTCCTAGGAGTCTGGGTTAGTTATTAAGGAGGGACAAGGCTTGTTTGGTGTCTGTCAAGTGTTTCAAAAATGGAGACAGATTGATTAGAGGGTAAAAATATGCAGTTTGGTGAAGAAGGTAAGACCTAGTATTTGATTTGATAGATCAGTAGGGTGACTATGGTTTACAATAATCTATTCTATATTGCAAAATAGCTAGAAGAGAATAATTAAAATGTCTCTACTATAAAGAGTAAAACAAATATGTAAGGTGATGGATATCCCAATTACCCTGATTTGATCTTTACAAGTTATATTAGTATATTAAATTATTATATGTATCTCTAAAATGTGTTCATCTATTATCTATCAGTAAAAAATAAAATAAGAATGAAAAGCCAAAAGACAAGTTACAAGGATAAGTCACAATTTAGAACTAAGCATTAGAATCCAATGGAAACACCACTGCAGAATCAGGGTGAACAAAAGATAGAAGGGCTCTGTAAATAATAATGATCATATATTTTAAGCATATATGGTATGTGCCAACACCAAACTAAATACTTTCACTGGTTAATTCGTCCATCCATACCAAGAAAAATATATTCAAATAAGCAAGCCTAAGTCACAACTTTTATTTTACCACTTCTGTGTATCTCCTGTCTCTCCTAAAGCCTATTAAAGTTACCATAAAGACACTTGAAAATATGTCAAAGAGAAACACAATGAATAAAAAAGAATGCAGCAAAAGGAAATACTTTCTCCATTTTTTGCAATTATGGGAAGAGGTTATGATCTAAGTAGCTAATTCCAGAAATCTCTGTTCTTCCCCATCATGGTATGTTGTCATTATAGAACCAGAAGTGATTACATTGAGTGCTAAGAAATGGACTCAAAGGTGTTTTCAAGTGATTCTGCTAAAGTTAAACCTGAAGTAGCATATTAGAGGGGAGATTGGGGGTTGCCCCATGTAACCCCAAGTTCATTTTTTTAACTTCATATTGAGTATTTATTGTGTATATTTTAGATGTAGTCACACATATTCCTGAAGACATTCAGTTCTAATTGAACTGTCAGAAATATAAAATCAGGGTTTGCATGCAGAGTGGTGAGATCCATGAAAAAGGAATCTGTGAATGTGATAGGAGCCCAGAAAAAAACCATCTAATCAGACTGGGAAGGCCATTGATAATCATGAGGATCTGATTTTTGAGCCAATTCTGAAATGGCCTAAGTGAGTTAAACAAAGCCCATGAACAAAGAATACCTCAGAGACATTGGCAGAATGGCAGATTTGGGAAAGTACAAATAGTTTGTTCTTTTGCAGACTGAGAAGTTTCTCCTTCATCATTGTTGATAAAATCATAACATCTATAGCAGGCCACCAATGGAGTGGGAGACAAGTTGTTCAATTGACTATATCATTAGTGTAATTGTTAAGATAGATAATTTTGCCTTAACTGCTATGCTGAAGCCATAAAAAGGATGTCATTTTATTAAAACAATGTCATTTTCCAAGATGAAGAACTACATTAATTCTGTTGCATTTAGTAACACACAATGTTGTTACCGTAACACCAGTGGTTCAGTCTAAGACCCATTGCTCATCACAGAAAAAGCCAATCACTGAGACAATGAATATCACCAGGGAAGAAAGGCTTTATTCAGGAGATGTCAGCTGGAGAGACCGGAGCCAAACCTCAAATCCCTCTCTCCTCCGCGACCAAAGTTAGGGAGTTATATAGCAGGGAAGGAATGTAGCTATGTGCAGGACTGTTCAGTAAGAAGCAGGTGACACTTTGGGAGGCCAAGGAGGATGAATCACCTGAGGTCAGGAGTTCAAGACCAGCCTGGGCAACATGGTGAAACCCTGTCTCTACTAAAATTACAAACATTAGTTGGGCGTGGTGGCATGTTCCTGTAATCCCAGCTACATGGGAGGCTGAGGCAGGAGTAACTCTTGAACCCGGGAGTCAGAGTTTGCAGCAAGCCAAGATTGCACCACTGCACTCCAGCCTGGGTGACAGAGTGAGACTCTGTGTCAAAAAATAAAAAAGAAGCAGGTGATTGGTTAGGCAGTTATGAGGGGTGAGGGATCCAGAGTCTCATTGTACAAAAGCGGTGATGCAATGGGCTTCAGTTCCTTGATACTATCAGAGAGGCCTGTGGGTCAGTTTCCTCTGAAAAGAACTCAGAGAAGACAAATGTAAGTTTCAAGCTTTAAGACTGAGAGGGGCGATTTTTATGTTTATTTTTAAAAAGAACATAAACATCAGTTCTATGGGGAAATTGAACCAGTTTCAATGTTTCTAGTAAATAACCCCCAAAACAGTTGTACAACTTTTGCCCTAATCCCAAAGCATTCCTTTGTTTCATGGTGAGTTTTGGTTTCTCAGTCTTTTGTGTTATGATATTCCTCAAATTATTTGTGAGAGGCATTCACTTGAGTCTACCTGTAATATTAGTTCTATCACCCATTGAATATTTTTTCTAAGTGAGTGTCCTCATCCTCCAAATTTTTATCCTTGGGAATGAGGTACAATTTTCTCTGAATGATAGTGACTTTTTGGGTGAGAAAATGAGACAGACTTGGTCCACGTAAAAAGGAAATGCCTTTTTATTCTACTTCTTGAAACTTCTTCCCTTCTCCAAGCTCCTGTATGACCACTGCAGCCTCCACTTTGAATCACTAACATGCTCATAATTTGGCAATGAGTCCAAATATCTAGGCTTTTACAGATTTGATTAACATAGGTCTGCAGAAATGATTATTTTAAAAAACATATAAAAATACATTGCCTTCATGTGGTTGTGATTTTGTACATTTTGCCGTGAACTTCATTCCTAACAAGTAAGGCAGGAACTTCAAGTTCAATGACCATCCAGTATAGCAGGAAGAAAAACAGTGGATTATGTTGGCATGCAATTACGGAAACAACAGTAAGTATGAAAGTTAGTAAACCTGGAGAGAAGCTGCTAAGTACTCACTTCCCCAAGTCTCAGTTCCAGGCTGGTTGAAGCAGAATGTTTTTGAAAATCTAGACATTACATCATGATTCCCCATTCTCTCTCTCATTCTAATAATTGTGTTAGGATTTTCCTTTTTATAAACACAAGCCCTCAGACTTTGGGGTTAACCACAGTATGATTTAACAAGGGTAAAATAGAAAGAGATAAATAACATATTTTTCCTCTCATCTAGTATATCAAATTTTGATAATTTTGTAGACTTTTTCTATATTTGTCATCTATACACAAATTATCTGCAATACACTATTTGGAATATCAAAAAATTAGAAATCCCTATCACCCCAAAAAATAATTTGTTAGAAAAAGCAGTGACTTCTCAGAAAAAGAGAAAAGTTAAATCTATCTTTTGCATTTACTAAACATGTTCCTTTCTTCCACACCCTCATGCTGTTATCATTGTCAGGTGGTTGCATTCCAGGTTGAGGAGGCAGTTGTAAATATTAGCTATTAGATGATTTGAAAAGTTACTGTAAATACAAAGTGTTTGGTTAAGGCTAACTTTGTTGTATTTAAATTTTTAAAGACCAAAAAATAAAAATAGTACCTAAGTCATATATTTTCATGTCTGGAGGATGACTCATATGTCACTTAGTTTCACCTTCTACTATTATCCCTGATAACTCACTAGTACCCCTAGCTAGTCTTAGCATTCTGCAGTGATGAGAAACCCCATCCCCATTAAGGAGGTGCAGTGAAAGTGGTTTTAAATTGCACAGTATTTTGTTTCTCCTTTCTTGACACTGAGTTTATTCAGTCATTCATCAGACCTTGATTAGTGCCTCTTCAGCAGCAGGGCTTTCTCTTAGCATGAGAATTCAAACCTAATGAGTTTTAACTAATAGATGGTTCGATGACAGTTTCAACATTGACAACACTTCCTGTCTACATCTACCTCTTCTGTACAAGGGTCTTAATGGTTTTTAGCCATGAAGAATCTTCTGTCTAAAGAGATCTCAAGCTCAGAGTAATATCATAGGATTGAGATTAAAGCAATCTCTACCATAATACACTTCAAGACATATTCATTCAATAGAATGCCAGGACAGAAAGACAAATATTGCATGATCTCACTTACATGTGAAATCTAAAATTTGAAGTCACAGAATTAGAGAGTAGAATGATGTTTACCAGAGATTGAGGGGAGTGGGACAGAGAGGGTACCAAGGGTACGAAGGGTACAAGGTTTCAGACAAACAGGAGGAATAAGTTTTACGATCTTTTGCAAAGCAGGGTGACTAGAGTCAATAACAATGGATTGCATATTTCACAATTACTAAGAGAGTAAATGTCAAATGTCTCACCATGAAAAAATGATAAGTAAGCCAAGAGACGGATATGCTAGATGGCTTGATTTAATCATTCCACATTGTTTATATATTTCAAAACATTACATTACATTGTATCCTATAAATGTATGTACTTACAATTTGTCAATAAAAGGGTACAGCGATCTCAAAGGCTTTGAGATGCAGCCCAAATTACAGGACTGTGGTCCTAGAACAATCTTGGTTACTAGCATCTCCTTTCACTTCCCAAAATGGCCCTGTTTGAATGGCTAATTTCATGGGCACCCTATCTATACCCTGATTTCCATAGAACTTGCAGAGGTGAGCAACAGACACCCATTTGCTTATCAGCAGTGTCTCAAGCAAAGCCACGATGATAGATTGGGGGGTATAGCTGCAGAAAACATAACAAAACAAAACAAAAAACTCCCTAGAAACTCTGTCACAGACAAAAAGCCCTCCTATGGTTTGAGCAGATAAGCTGTTATCATGTTAGTATAGCTTCATTCTAGCAGATAATATTTGTCCCTGTGTACGTTTTGTTTGTTTGTGTTCTTAACAGTTATCAGCTGTCTCACGTTTAGATTAGAAGCTTCTGGGAAACAGCTACCCATGTAGCATAATCAAGATGGTGCCAGTGATGAGCAGTGGGCATGTGTCTCGTTTTGTCCTTCACAAAGAATCTATGACAATTATTTAAACTGATTCTCAAAATTCTGTGAGTTATTTTAATTTTATAGGCAAAGAGACTGACGCCCAGTTTATGATTAAGCACTAGTTGACATGGCATTGATGGTGCTAGGACTAAATTCGGTCCTCTGAATATAAAGTTTAATCTCTCTCCACCAGACTACACCTCGCTGTTTTTGTTGATGAGAATTATGGTTACAACGAACACCATGATAGCAATAGAATGGCATCAAAAAAACCTACTGAGCTGCACTGAGTGGCTTTTTACATTCTCTCAAGGTTTCTTCCCTTGCTGGCCCCTGATGCTCGCCCAGGTTCTTCTGCCAGTCACTTGATCCGGCCTGAAAAGGTCTTCCTTCACCAGCCTCATACCTCCCACTTGTAATTCATGACCTCACCTCCTCCAAGAAGCCCTCACTGGTGCCTCATATCCATGGGATGTCTCTTTCCCTGATTTCTTACTCCATTGACTTCTAGAAGCACTCACTTAGAAATTCAGTTGTTGACTGTTTTTATGTGACTGTTTCTTACCTCCCTAGTATCATTTAAACTCACTGTGAGCAGAGGATTGTGCCTGTTCTTTGCACATTATGACCAGAACTCAGAGACTTGACACGCAGAGTAGACACAGGCAGAAAGTGTTTGACAGTGATTGAATCCTCTGGCTAAACTCAGGCAGTACTGTCTCCAACTGTACAACTCATTCCCTCTAACCAAGATCAGGCTCCCTGATGGGCTATGCAAAGGAATAAGTCAGGCTCAGGGACCCAGCCACAACATAGGCGTTGCCCTTTGCCCTTTCTACTCCCTTCTACCACCGGGATCTAAAAGGCTTTTGCTCAGAGCAGAGAGAAGTAGGCAGGCCTGAACAGATCTCTGCATGGAAACCTCTTTTCCTGAGGCTGGAATGTGTTAATAACTGTGACAGTTTTTGAGTTCTGATGTGTTCAAGTCTCTAACCATCATGAGGGCTAAGCCTTCTTTCTGCCACAGGCTGTGGTATCCATTCTTGTGGGGTTTCACATCAATCATGACAGGCCCTACCATTTCAAACCTATTAATTTAATTCATATTTCAAAGAATAGGAGGAATCTCAGAGGGA
The DNA here is from genome assembly GCF_000001405.40 of Homo sapiens. Classification (NCBI taxonomy): domain Eukaryota; kingdom Metazoa; phylum Chordata; class Mammalia; order Primates; family Hominidae; genus Homo; species Homo sapiens. The sequence continues at coordinate 22,401,193 of NC_000002.12, forward strand.
GAGAAAGAGGCAGGGAACACCATTATTAAAATCTGTTACATCATTTAAAAACTATATATGTGAGTATATTCATATTTTAGAGGCTTTTCCCTGGATATTTTCTCTTCCTGGGATACTCGTCCCCAGAAATCCACATGGCTAAAGCCCTGTCTTCACAAGGAGTCCTATCTTTACCACTAGCCTTAAAATCACTAGTGCCTCCATCCTGCTATCTCTCCCTGAGCTCTTTTTCTTTACCCTGCTCATTTTCTAAATATCTATAGACGTTTCTATAAAATGTCTTTATTTGTTCTACATATTAATTATTGTTTCTTCCTTTACTGATATGTAAAACTCTATGTGGGTTGGAATTTGGGGTTATTTTTGTTCACTGATGTATTGCAAACACTTTGGGTAGTTCCAGGCACTTAGTAGGTACTCAATGAATTATTCTTCTATGAATAGAAAGAATGAATGACTATTGCATCCCTACCAAACCTTGAGTATTTAAAGACTAGTTCACCTAGAGATAGTACAGTAAGAGCAGGTGTCAAGAGACCTCCAAGGGTACAGTACTACCTGGGAATAAGGAAGTCACTACAGATGATATGGTCTTTAAGAACGGGTCTCAGAATCCTCTCTGCAGTATGGGACCCCATTGGGATATTTGCTGTTACAAGCTGTGAACCCAGCTGGGAGCATGCTACCACTACCACTTTCTAAAGACCCAAGAGTTTGAGAAGTTAACCCTGAAAAATTGCATATCATACTCAGCTACCTCTCATGGACAGGAAATATGTGTCATGTTCCTTGCATTGGGTTCTACTTTAATGAGGAAAAATGCAAAAGGGCAACCATTGACCCTGACATCAAGGTATCTACAGACAGGACACAGGAGACAATAAAAGAATAATGAGAAATAATGACATGGTAGGAAAAGTACACAGAACCTACGCATTCACTCAATCTCTATTATGATTCAAGGTCAATTCTGGATATTGCAGATGTGATGATGACAACATATGATTTCTGCCAAGGATCTAGGGAGGGCCTGTAGATGCATCACTACAAAGCAATGCTAAAAGATTTGTATCTAGAGAGTGCTATGGAATACAGAGATGATGGTGAATAAATTTTCCCACAAATGTAAGGAAAGCTACAGGGATAGAGTAACATTTTACTTGGGCCTCAAAGGATAAATAAGCATTTCTAAGAAGTGAAGGGCATTTCAGGAAAAAGAAATGGTGGAGGCAGTGTCCACATATTAGCATGACTTGCATTTGGGAAAGGCAAGACCTCAAAGAGCCTTCTTTACTCACAGTGGCAGAGCATGTTTGTTCCTCTCGGTCGCTCTCCCCGGACATTGGACACTGCCTGCCTCACAGGACACACTCAAGGATAAATTTAGTAAATGCATGAAAGAATAAAAGCAATCAGGTCCTAGTCAGATCATCAATCAGGTATCTTAGCCCATGTCTTACTTTCAACAGAAGGGCTGATGTTTTTGAAGACCCACTCTGACAATCCATAGCTTTATGAATCTGTGCTCCGACTTTGCCAGTATTCCCCTCCACTTTGAAGGTGAAATGATTAGACCCTGCAATCAGGGGTCGCATCACTGCATCTGACCCTGGAGGGCTCGGCACAAGTTTGAGCATTTGAGCATGGGTTGATCCATCAGAAAATGATACAGAGGAAGGACTATGTGGAGAGGCATTAAGAGAGTCAGACAGATTGCTCAAATCCTTCCCCTTCCAGCTACCAGTGTGTGGTCTTGCACAACTACTTAATATCACTATTAATCTATTTGTAATACGGGAATAAAAGAGTGTAAGTGCTGGTGTTGTTAAAGATTCAAATGGATAATACTATATGAATGCTTTGAACAGCACCTATTACTAAAATAGGCACTTGGTAGTTAGATGTTGTTATTAAATTATGACACTGATTTGATGCCTCCTTGCCTGTAATGCTGCTCTGACAGATGTCTCATCAGAGAGAAGTAGCTGTGGACCAGGAATCAGGAGGCCTCTGTCCCACCCCTGTAGCCGTCTCATCTAATGGAAATAACTCTGCCCTTTAGGCCTCAGCTTCTTAAGGGGGCTATCGTTAGGCTCAAATATAACTACAGGGATAAAAGACTGTTGCACACATTTTATAAGGCTGTGGGCTTTCAATTTTTTCTAGATTCCAAGATAGATGGCAGAGTGTTAATACAAGTTCCACAAAGGGCTTGTGCTTCTTCTTCTTTTTTGAGTCAGAGTCCCACTCTGTCACCCAGGCTGGAGTGCAGTGGCGCGATCTCAGCTTACTGCAATCTCTGCCTCCCAGGTTCAAGCGATTCTTCTGCCTCAGCCTCCCAATAGTTGGGACTACAGGTGCATGCCACCACGCCTGGCTGATTTTTGTATTTTTAGTAGAGGTGGGGTTTCACCATATTGTCCGGGCTGGTCTCGAACTCCTGACCTCGTGATCCACCCACCTCAGCCTCCCAAAGTGCTGAGATTACAGGTGTGAGCCACTGCGCCTGGCCGGGCTTGTACTTCTTTACAACTGGCTGAGGAACAGGACATAGAGAAAAATCCTGAACTCTGGACTAACAACCTGGTGATATGCCCAACAGAATATGTGTGGAGGCTTCATTGTCAGCCCCCCTGCTGTGGTTCAACTGCACTTTAGGCCAACTAGGCACAGGGAAAAGCAACCCTCTCTGCTCCTCACATGGCGCTAAATGCAGGAGAAACTTCCTCCCAGCAGCAAGCACAAAGTGATGGGAATGTGACAGTTAAAGTATCTGTCTTCCCCTCCATTGAGGCACTTAACTTTTTGAACTATAATTGCAGGATTTACTTATCTGTGATTCCTGCCAGATCATGAGCTCAGTAAGGGCAGGGACTGCACATTATTTGTGTCTATATCCATAGCATCTTGCAAGGTACCTGGGACAATAAGTATTTGTTGAATATATAAGATAATACATAAATGAAAAGTAGTAATGTAGTAGTATCCACAAGAACAAAATTGACTGCAGCATTTACTCAATGTCAGTCTGTGCAAACCTGTATTATTCTAATTGTTCTAATTAATCTTTGGTGCAAGACTATGAGGTGCATACAACTATCCCTGATTCAGGGATGGGAAAAGAAAGGTTCAGAAAGAGTAAGAAGCACCAACAAGTTTACACAGCCAGCCATCAGCAGAACCAAGATTTACACTGACATCTGCATGAATCCAAAGCCCTGGTACATTCAGATGTAAGGTATTTAGTGTGTGAATGGACTAATTAGAGCCCCCACACCTAAAGAAAACCTCAAACTGAGCTAAACTTGGAGGTCCACAATTTTCTCCTTTTCTACCTATTTTTTTAAAGTAAAGCACATATTGCTAAAATCTTTGAATTCCTAGTTTTTTCAGCACCATGTTTTTATCTGGTTTTATTGGCAAGTCCAGGAGGCAACAGTCGAAATACAACCATCATTGGCAACCACGTGCAGGAGGTCAGACTGTGTCCCTCTGAGGGGAAGGACAGGGGACTTTGAGCACTGAAAAGTCAGCACAGGTGCTTTGCTCTTTCAAAGACTTCTCTTCAAAAATCTGTTTAACTGAATCTTACTTTAGCATCACGTTGCAAATCAGAATTTAACTGGAGTTGTATGCAATGCTCTGCAAAGTCCACTCTGGTAAGAAGCCCGATTTTTATCCTAAAGCCAAAAATCATTCTTATCCTATTTGCTAACAGGACTATTAACTGGACACCATGCAAACAATGGGACTGTTTAAAGCAGCGATTTGTTTCTTAGGTGCCTGATAATTGCCAACACTGGAAATTCTAGAATAAAGTAAAAATCTACTGACATGATGGACTAATTTAATCTTATGGCAATTAACTTGATTAATCCCAACTGAGAGGCTGGAGGAAGAAAGAACAAAATGATCAATTTTTAAAGAGCTTATCATAAAATAACTGATTTGGGACTATTTATTTGCATAGTCACATTATAATCTAAAAAGGTAATAAATGAAACAAGAATTATTATTTCTTGGGGTTATTGTTTCCATTATTGTTTTTATGTAGACTAAATATGGAGAAGGGATTGACAACATCTGGGAATTAAGACCCATAATGTTTCAAAGAATAGGAGCAGAGATGCAGCAGGGGCTCCAGGATAAAAGGACTAAGAAGGAACTCTCTCAGGGGAGATGGGAAGAAACAGGGCTGTGCTCAGAACTCTCACCTGCCCTGGGAGCTTGACTGCTGACCATTAAGGAAAAGGGGCTCTGCTTCATGGGCTATATGAATATTAACTTCCCTGGGTCATGCCAATCAGTTGAATAAAATCTGGGTATTGAAGAGATGAAATGTCCAAAAGCCCTAAGCATCAAGACAGGTAAAGTGTCAACAACCCTAATTAAGAGTATTACTGAAGCAGAGATAGCTAGAACCTAGGGAAAAACTGAATACTACAGGAGGCCTTGCAGGTAATGAGAAATAAACTCAAAGTAAGGGAAACACAAGTGGAGGCCTCAACAATGAGCAGAATCTGCACACCCACTACCCAGCCTGACACCATTTTGGACCTGAGGCCCAAGTTCAAGTTGGTGGCTGGCTATTGATTTATCAGGGATAAAAGCTGAGAAATAAAACACTGAACCTCACATAAGTGGCCCTGTTTCTCCTGAAGTTGATATTATAGTGGAGTACACAGAAAATACAAAATATATAGATAATTGCAGGTTGGGAGAAGTGACTCCTGACAGGTTAATTAGCCCTATTGCTTCTCTTCCCTCAGTATTTGAAAATGTGGAGATAATAATGCCCACCTTGGCTAGATCCCAGTGTGGGGTGAGAATCAAATGGAAAAGCTCCTGAAATATGTTAACGATTCTATTAAAATAGATGTTGCTTCATTGTTTTAAATTGCTTTGAATAGGATGTAAAAGATAATGGCAATTAAAATAATAGAAAAGACTCATGTAGATATTGGCTTGGAATGATGAATGCTTTACAATGGTTGAGAGAGAGAGAGAGAAATATTCTGGAATCAAATGAAGAAATTAGGCATCCAAAAGGGTGAGAGATGACTCAGCTATTACCAGTGGCCAAATTTTAAAGTGGCATATGCTTCCTTCCACGGGAGAGCTGTCACTTTTGGAATCTTTGAGTCTCTCTGTGCCAGTGGGAAATGACTGAAGAAGGCAATTTACTAGGTGGCCAAGCACCCAAGATTGGGAGCCAGTGTTACCAGGAAACAACCATAGATAGGCTTTCATTAGTCTCTGAGATATCAAGGTACACCAGAGAGCAGAGAAATGAAGAAGAGAAGGCAAGAAAGGATGCTCAGAGTAAGGGGTGTGTATGTGTGTGTATGTGTGTGTGTGTGTGTGTGTGTGTGTGAGAGAGAGAGAGAGAGAGAGAGAGAGAAACAGAGAGAAAAATAGAGAAGAATAGGACCAGGACAAGGAATACCCATAAGAAAAGCTCTGTGGAACAGATGGTCACTGATAAAATGTTTAGTAGTGGGTAATAGAAATAACGGAGACACAGGAGACTACACAGGTTGGTTTTACATAGAAAATGCTTGGGAGATTAAAGGCCACACTTTTATAAATCACCCACAACAATCTTTGACCCAGAGTATGCACTGATCATATGCTAGTTTCATTTCCTTTTCCTCTTTACTACTGTGAGTAAATTGCAATCAGATGTCATCTCTTACATATCTGAATGTTTCACAAGATCTTCACCCCTGCCATACAAATGCTTGTTATTTTGGGAGAGTTTGTTGAGTTTCCATAGCCAAGCTTCCCTTCCAGGTAACAGAAGTCTAAAAGCCTGCGACATCTTGAGTAAAAAGAAGAAATGTAACTCCAAAACACCTCAGAAGACAGAAGATTGGAATGTAATGTTTTTGTATCCTGAAGGAAGAAGAAATGGAAGTTGAGGTGTTCTTGAAGGTTTTACTAAAGTAAGTGCAAATAACATTTGTTAAAATGAGGTGATGGTGGTTATATGAATGTACACATATAAAAACATATCATGCTATTTACCTAAACTTTTTGCCCTTTACATACTTCACTCTGTGTAATGAATAACTAATAAACATGTACTAGAAAGGATGCACTAGAAGGTCAACACCCTTTCTGGGTTTCACAAAATATACTGGGTTACTGCCACAGGCAGTCCATAGAAGAGCTGGACACATCTTAGGCTACATATGACTATCGCATGGACAAGACAGCGTTTGTCGGGAATGAGGGGGCCATCTAGGTATGAGCTAGTGTCACTAACGCAGAGTAGACCCAATGTTTGTGCACGGTTGACACCAAATACTCTGAGGGGAGGAGAGAGAAAATGACCATTCTTCCAGGTCTTACCACGGGCTTTTCAAGTTTCATCCTAACTCTATTTAACATTGATTGCAGTGCATGCAGAGGGGTAAATTTTCCCAAGGGAGTAATAAAGTGCCAGGAAGAATCAGGGAAGAGAATGTCCCTGGCAGAAAACACTTCTCCCCAACCTAGGATACTATGTGTTTCTTTTTTTATTTTTCTGATTTGACTGATTCCCAAGAGATTCTAATGGTGGTCTGAAGTTTCCTGTGTAGATTGTGGTCTACTCCAGACTGTTGGCTCCTGGTGTTACTGAGCAAAGCAAACTCTTTCCCCTGGAGTGGAATTCCTGTGTGACAGCTGTTCCCCACCTCAACTGCCTCCATTGCTCACCAGATGAGAAATATTGTTAAGTGAGGAAAACACAGAATGGAGGCTGGGAGTAGGAGTTTTAGTTCCTCCTCCATGCCCGTGCTCAACTCCCATTAGCAGTAATGGCTGTGGTATGAATAGGCCCCAGGAACACTCTAGTTTATTAAGAGGTAATGATATATACAGTTAGTGGTGGAGTAAAATGAAACAGCAGAATTGCTGTTTGTCAACCAGGTGTGGTGGCTCACGTCTGTAATCCTAGCACTTTGGGAGGCCAAGGTGGACCAATCACCTGAGGTCAGGAGTTCGAGACCAGCCCAGCCAATATGGTGAAACCCCTACTCTACTGAAAATACAAAAATTAGCCAGGTGTGGTGGTGCATGCCTGTAATCCCAGCTACTCAGGAGGCTGAATCAGGAGAATTGCTTGAACCCGGGAGGTAGAGATTGCAGGGAGACACAATCATGCCACTGCACTCCAGCCTGGGCAACAGCGTGAGACTCCATCTCAGAAAAGGAATTGCTGTTTGTCTATAGGAACTCTTTCTTATCAGTGCATATAAATGCAAGTAAATGGTTAAAGAGATTAATAACACATGGGTTGAGTGTGCCACACTATCTGGTTGACTAAAAGCCAACTTTTAAAGGAGAGCTATGGCTTTTTCCTACATTTGTGATAAGAATTTCCCGATCTTAGAACCACGATTCTACTGCTTAGTTTACAGAGTAGAATGCAACATTTTTGGCTCTTAAACAAATCTGGAAGGCAAACAGCAAAATGTGGTGAGCTAAGCATGTTTTCTCTCACCTCTACCTTCTCTACTAAGCAAAATAAGTTAATGAGTCAACTCATCTCTAGGCGGCATGTTATGTGCCAATTGCTGAAATCAAATGAGAAGCTCTTTCTAGTGCAGAACCCAGAGCTCATGTGAAAGTGTCAGATTTGATAAAGTAGATTTGTTCTAGAAGAAAACACTCCCTTTCTATTTTCTAGTATACATCTGTTTGCCAGAGTGCATTTCCCAGCTAATACCAGTTTGTCGACAGAATTTGCAATGAACTTTAATTGTGTGCTTTACCTGACAGTCTTAATTGTAATCTGACTTCCTTCAGGTAGCAATCAGCTGAGTGAAGTAATCATATCTCCCTGAAGGCCATAAACACAGCCACCTGCGCCTCTTCTGTTTTGTGTTCCTCTTTTTAACTCCAGTGTCACATGGAGAGGGGATACAGAGCCTGAAAAGGTACAGCACACTCAAAATAGCTGCTATTTTCCCATCATTACAGTGGTGCATAATTAAACACAGACAGAGTAACTGAGGACAAAAATAACCCTATCATTTTAAAATTGTAATAGTAAAGCTGTTGTATAAGCAGAGATTGCCTTTTTTAGTAGGGAAGAAATTGGTTCTAATTCATGCTCCTTTCTGCCTTTGTAGGTTTCTCTGGAAGGTCCTCTTGGTATGTGGTTTTCTGCCTGAATATTAGGAGGCTTCCCTTCATACATCACATCTGGAACCTCCACCCTGTCCCCTATTCTCTATTCCCACTGCTTACTTCCTTGATGCTCATTACCTCTCTCATAGATTCCTGAAAAGGATCATAGTTGGTCTCCATGTGTGCAATTTATCTCTGTCCAAACTATACCACTTGTGATACTTGAATAATCTTTCTAAAATGAAAATCATTTCAGGTCACAGATCCAGGCAGAAGCATTCAGTGAGCTGAGTTGCCCAGAAAGATGACACTGTAATTACCAGTTTACAAATTATCACCACTCTCTGCCCAAAACCCACAGAAATGAACAAAAAAACACAAAGGATCAAGAAAAACTTTGTCAGGGTGAAAACTAATAAATGGACCCAAACTGATACAAATATCAAGGACAATAATTCCCATTTTTATAATTAAATGCATATGTAAAATATACACATTTTTAAAAGAGAACACTACCTAATTAGAATCATGAATTCATCTATGTGTATTATAAATTTTTAAATTAGATATTCATCTACAATTAACAGCATTTTACTGGTTCAATGTAATATAATTGCCTTCACAAGCAATTTACTTAGGCAGTTTCCTTTTTTCAACATTTGCTTTTTTCCAATGTTCAGAAACAGTAGAGATAACAATGTAGGATTAAAAGTTTTCAAGCATAATCAATTATTTCCTTGAGGGAAAAATTCCTTAAGGCAAGTAAAAGAATAGGCATATAGTTGAAATCAGTTATATCTTTTCACAAGCTGCTCTCAAGAAAAAAAAAATGCTTCGAGCAATATCAACCAGTGTGTTAGTTTTCTTAGATTAGGATTGAGGTTAAACATTATTTCATTTGATTATTGGCCATCTCTCTACATATATATTGTGTGTTTATTGTAAACACAAGTTCTATTTCATGTTTCTTTGGCATGTTCATCTATTTCTTGTTCAACTATTGGAACTATTTATATATATAGTTATGTATATACACATAGTTTTATACATAGTTATATATATAGTTATATATACATATATATACACACATATATACATAATTATATATATGGAACTCATATATATATATATATATATATATATATATATAGAACTCCTTATATATAAATAGTAATCATAATACATTTCTCTAGTCTATTAAGTCTCCCAATCTTATAGACGGCTATCTTAGTTATTTTTCATTTTGGCAAACCTACAATGCTTCCTCCACTATCCTTACTTTTACTCAGTGTCCTTACTCCCTAGTTCACGGAAAACCTGAAGCAATTAGAGGAGAACTTTTACAAGTCACCATGTGTGCAAGTACCAATATCTGCTCTCACACAAGCGGGCTTCTCTGCCCTTACTACAGATGAACTTCCTGCTTTCAGCTAAAATCAATCCTTTCTCTTCTGCACCAGCTCTTAATTCCTTGAGAACTAATAAAAAAGATCACAGTAACAATTTGTATTTATCTTCCTTGTATAACCAATACTGGATTATTCTGCTAGTATATAAAAGTTCTCTTTTTATTTTTCCCATCTAAAAAATTGAAAAAAATACTTGTCTATTGTCTTCATTTCTACCTCCAGCTACCAGTTCATATTTTTTCTCCCCTTTCCAGCAAAAGTCCTTGAAAAGTTGTCTGTATTTCTATTTTACTGTCTCCAAATCCTGTTCTTTTATTATTTCTTAAACTAAACCCTAGACCTTCTTCCTCGCAACTCCACCATTAGTGTTTACATATTAGTAGCATTTGAATTTTTCTTTTGAAACATTTTCAAATAAGATCTCACGTACCACAGTCTTCCGATTTTCCTCCTTCCATATTGACTCACTCGTTAGTGGGAAAAACTGAGAATCTTTACACTGTTGTGTTGTCATGCCACAAACCTCAATCTTTTTTTTTTTTTTTTTTTTTTCTGTAATCCTCCCCTCTCCTCTCTTGTCTGTTAATACTCAGCCTCTCCCTCGGAGAGTTCCTCAGTTGTTTGGCTTTAAATGCTTTGTAAGAGCCGAACAGAGTCTCAGGATTATATCGGTAGTTCATACTCAGATTTCCAGCAGCCTCATCCATGTGGAGATCTAGCAAGCATCTCAATTGTAACAGGTCAAAACTTGAGCTTGTGTTATTTCCCCTCAAACTTACTTTTTTCAGTCTTTTCTAGATCTGTTATGGCATTTCAATCATTTGATTTGCTGAGGCCAAAATTTTCTTTGTTTCTACCTTTTCTGTTTTAACCCACATCCAATTCATCTAGATCCATCTGGATCAGATGTGGGTTAAGAGAGAAAAGGAGGAAACAGGGGTTAAATTAGGATCAAATTCACTTGACCCTACCTCAAAATATGTTAAGAACCATACTACTTCTGATAGCCTCCAAATGCTACTACCTATTTTAGGCTGTTATCATCTTTAATCTAAAATATCTAACAGCTTTATAACTAGTCTCCCTGTTTTTTAATCTTTTATTAATTATTTACAATAGAACAATCAGAATGATCTTATGAAACATAAACCCAATCAAGAAACTCTTCTACCAATCCTGGCCAACATGACAAAACCTCGTTTCTACTAAAAATACAAAAATTAGCTGGGCGTGGTGGCGCATGCCTGTAGTCCCAGCTACTTGGGAGGCTGAGGCAGGGGAATTGCTTGAACAGGGGCAGCGTGGGGTGGAGGTTGCAGTGAGCTGAGATCTTGCCACTACACTCCAGCCTAGGTGTGAGAATGAGTTCCTATCTCAAAAAAAGAAAAAAGAGACTCTCTCCTACTCAAAGCCCAGTGGTTGACCATTTCTTGTAGATTACAATCTAGAGACTTTTAAAAGGACTGAAAAGTTTGACACCACCAGACCTATAATAGCTATCTGACTGCATATCCTGCTAGTATTCTACTCATCTACAACCATGATGACCTCTTTGCTTGTATTCAGATGTGCCAGATACAATCCTATAACACAACTTTATAATTTGCTGGTCTCTGCCTGGAACCTTCCACCCTATAGATACACATTCCTCACTCTCTCAAATACTACCTTCCCCGTGAAGATTTCCCGACCATGTTTATTAAAATGTCCACTCCAACAAAAATTGCCACTCCAAATGTGGGTTTCCACCCTACCCTTTCTGCTTTATTTTTCCTCATAGAGTTGTCATTATATAAACTGCTCTATAATTTACTAATTTATTTTGTCATCCATCCAGCTTTCCAAATTTGACTATAAACTAGATGAGGGCAGGGTTTTTCTCTGATGTATTCACTAATTTATATCCCATGTCTAGAACAATACCTGGAACATAGGAAAGGTTCAATAAATATCTGTTGAATAAAAAATGGGTGAATGAAATAGATAAGTTAAAGCCCCTGAATCACAGGTCCCTGAGGTGGACTCTTGAGCCCACCTCAACTCGCAGACACAGGCCTATTGTTTGAAATTGCAAAAAAAAAAAAAAAAAAAAAAAAATCACTGATAAGCAGAAGCATTTAGAAGCTACAAGGGAGAAAAAATAGATCTTCAAAGACCAACATTAAGATTAACCCCAGTCTCTCTCCCCAGAACCGTAGGTGCCAGTGCTTGAAGGAATAATATCTGAAAAGTGCTAAGAGTTTAAATTCCTTGATCAGCTAAACTGCTATACGAACGTATGAAGTGGAAATAAAGACAATGATGACATCAAAACTCTAAAGGAAGAAAAATAATCAAAAATATATATAAATGTTATTATTCCTTTAGGAAATATAATTAGAAAATTTGTCCCCAAAATAGAAGAACTTCACAGACCAAGAATCACAGAAGCAAGTACAAAGGCAGCTGTAGATTTACCTATACAATAATATTATGTCCAGTTAATTTCTAGCAAATAGTTCATTTCAATTAATAAAGAAATATTATTAGACTCAAGAATGAAGACTCTGGTATTGTGCCATTTCCTAATTGTGCGACACTTTCCAAGTTACTTAACATCTTAGGTGTTATTTGTCAATAGGTGGATAGTTATATTATTGTTTCACTGGGCCTGTTGTAGGAACTCAATGAGGTTATACACGCAAACTTTTTAGCATATTCTCAAAATTTAGCTGTTTTAGATCAATAGTATTTTATTGTTAGAAAACATAGAAGTCTCTTTACTTCATTTCAGAAGCTTACTATAATCCTAATATTCATCTTAGCTACTAAATGAAATAAAAATATATTAATTTCCCATATTAATCTAGATGAAATATTGTAGATAAAATAATAGCAAAATCAAATATACAAGTGTGTCATTACCATGCAGGGTGTATTCCAGCAATGCAATGCATGAATGGATTAACATCAGGAAATCTATTAATATAATTCAGTATATTAGAAGATCAAAGGTGAACAACTATATGATTATCTCCATAGAGTGCTGATAAAATGAAACATTCAATCTTGACAAAATCCTCAGTACACTAAGAGGAACTTTCTTATCCTGAAAAGGTTTTCCAACATACCCATACAATCTGGATTTAGACTCCCTAAATCCTGGATTCCACTCTCTGTTAATGCTATGCAACATGTAAGTTGCATATTTATTCAATACCTTGGTTTCCTCATATGAAATGTGGATGCTTTATACTCAGAGTAGAGTATCATTGGATAGTTACGAATATTAAATAAAAAATAGTAAGTATTCCCTAAATGATGGCTTAAAAATATAATTGTAAAACATGATTTCCACTTAATTAGTGATGAAGGAAATTTAATGTCAATGCCTATTTAATGTTTTATTGAAGGTCCTAGAAAAGGCATTAAAATAAGAAAATAAATGGGAGGTACGAACACTGAAAATGAAAATTCGAGACTCAGAAAAGTCCTAAATTGAAGCCAATATAAATATTTACAAAAAAATTTGAAAGAATCAACCAACATACTGTTAGAGCTAATATGAGAATATAATATCTGAATACAAAATTAATGTAAAACATTATACAGTTAAATTAGTAATAATTTTAAGAATGTGATTATTAAAATCCATTAACAAAATCTATAGGAAGCTATTCATTCCTAGGAACAACATTAACAAGAAGCAAACTAGATATCTGTCAAAAGTGATATAGACATTTATAAAAGACCTAAATAAAGACTTCTCATTAGGAAGATACAATATTGTAAATATGTCAATTTCTTCCATACTCATTAGCAAATAAATCCCAGTACATTTCAGAATTTATCTTTTTATGTTGATTCTACAGCTGATAAAGAAAAGAAAATGCACAACAATAAAGAAGTTTACAGAAAAGAATAATGAGGTAAAACATGACCCAATTCAAACTATGGAGTAACTTACAAAAGAAATGAAGATGTGTACCCATAAAGTTCAGATCTAATAGACTTTTACATCTTTAACTTAGTGAAGAAAAGATAGACAATTTAACATGTTTTGGAGATAATTGGTCATCTTTTTGTGGAAAGCATGCAAGAACCTCATCTACTTGCTTTTCTACCCATCTACCTCCATACTCCATCTCCCAACAGCAATAGCAGCAGAACCATCTTTTTTTGTTTTGTTTTGTTTTGAGACAGAGTCCTGCTCTGTCTCCCAGGCTGGAGTGCAGTGGCGTGATCTCAGCTCACTGCAACCTCCACCTCCCAGATTCAAATGATTCTCATGCTTCAGCCTCTTGAGTAGCTGGGATTACAGGTGTCTGCCACCACGCCTGGCTAATTTTTGTATTTTTTAGTAGAGATGGGGTTTCACCATGTTGGCCAGGCTGGTCTCGAACTCCTGACCTTGAATGATCTGCCTGTCTCGGCCTCCCAAAGTGCTAGGATTACAGGTGTGAGCCATAGCACCCAGCCCAATCTTTTAAGATGCAAATCTGACCATTTAGATTTCCTGCTCGAAATCCTCTAATAGCTTCTTACCACACTTAGAACAAAATCTGAAATTGTACTTGTATTCTGATTCTGATAGCCTCCTGACTACTATTCTAGACCATGTTTCATCTCCAGCACTCTGCCTCTTCGTCATCCATGAGGTTGAATGTTTTTCCATTTGTTTGTGTCCTCTCTTATTTCCTTGAGGAGTGGTTTGTAGTTCTCCTAGAGGAGGTCCTTCACATTCCTTATTAGCTGTATTCATAGGCATTTTATTCTTTTTGTAGCAATTTGAATGAGTTCATTCATGATTTGGCTCTATGCTTGTCTATTGTTGGTGTAAAGGAATGCTTGTGATTTTTGCACAATGATTTTGTATCCTGGGACTTTGCTGAAGTTGCTTATCGGTTTAAGCAGCTTTGGGGCTGAGATATAGGGTTTTCTAAATATAAAATCATGTTTTCTGCAAACAGTGACAATATGACTTGCTCTCTTCCTATTTGAGTACCCTTTATTTCTTTCTCTTGCCTGATTGCCCTGGCCAGAACTACCAATACTATGTTGAATAGGAGTGGTGAGAGAGGGCATCCTTGTCTTGTGCTGGTTTTCAAAGGGAATGCTTCCAGCTTTTGCCCATTCAGTATGATATTGGCTGTGGGTTTGTCATAAATAGCTCTTATTATTTTGAGATATGTTCCAACAATACCTAGTTTATTGAGAGTTTTTAACATGAAGGGATGTTGAATTTTATCAAAGTCCTTTTCTGCATCTATTGAGATAATCATGTGGTTTTTGTCTTTGGTTCTGTTTATTTGATAGATTTGCTTATTGATTTGCATATGTTGAACTAGCCTTGCATCTCAAAGTTGTAGCTGACTTGATCATGGTGGATAAGTTTTTTGATGTGCTGCTGGATTTAGTTTGCCAGTATTCTATTTTTTTTTTTTTTTGCATCAGTATTCATCAGGGATATTGGCCTGAAATTTCCTTTTTTGTTGTGTCTTTTCCCAGTTTCGGTCTCAGGTTGACAGCGAATCAACCCAAATGCCCATCAGTGATAGAAATGATAAAGAATATGTGGTACATATACACCATGGAATACTATGCTGCCATTAAAAGTCATGAGACCATGTCCTTTGCAGGGATACAGATAAATCTGGAAGCCATCATCCTCAGCAAACTAACACAGGAACAGAAAACCAAACACTGCATGTTCTCACTCATAAATGGGAGTTGAACAAGGAGAACACATGGACACAGAGTGGGGAACAACACACACCAGGGTCTGTTGGAGGGTGGGAGATGAAGGGTGGTAATTAGAGGTTGGGTCAATAGATGCAGCAAACCACCATGGCACATGTATACCTATGTAATAAACCTGCATGTTCTGCACATGTATCCCATGTTTATTTTAGAAAAATTGTTTTAAAAAATGCATTATGTTTCTATTTACAAATTAAACTTTTAAATTTTATTGCTAATCTGATTAAATTTTTTAATAGGACAGCACATGTAAGTCTTTAACTCTTTCAAAATAATATTTTAATTTTCAAGAAAAAATGATTTTTTAAAACTTAGTTTAAACAGAATGCTATTGACAAAAGTTGGATTGCAGTATTTATTCAACAAAGGTTTATGAATTTCTGCTGTGTACCAGGCACAGGGCTAAGCATAAATGATGTGTTTAGCAAATGATAAACAAACCAAATCTGGTTCCTGCCTTAACTGAACTTTTGGTGAATTGGCAATGATAATGGATTTTTTTAAAGATAAAATAGAGTTTTCAAGAAAACTGCAAAATAATAATCTCACTTAAAAACATAAATCCAATTATTCAAAGTAAAATACCAAACAGAATAATAAATATAACAAAATAATGCACATTATAACCAATTATGGTTTAATCTAAAATTTTAAAATGTTTAATAACAAGAAAGTATTAATGTACGTATCAGCAGGGCAAAACAGAGGAATTATCTGATCATCTCTATTAGTCCGTTTTCACACTGCTGATAAGGACATACCCGAGACTGGGTAATTTATAAAGAAAAAGAGGTTTGGTAGTCTCACAGTTCCACGTGGCTGGGGAGTACTCACAATCAGGTACATCTTACATCGCAACAGGCAAGAGAGAATGAAAGCCAAGTGAAAGGGGTTTCCTCTTAAAAAACCATCATATCTCATGAGACCTATTCACTACCACAAAAACAGTATGGGGGAACCACCCTCATGACTCAATGATCTCCCCCAGGGTCCTTCCCCCAACAGGTGGGAATTATGGGAGCTACAATTCAAGATGAGATTTGGGTGGGGACACAGCCAAACCATATCATCTCAATAGAAATAATAGATTTTAATAAAATTCTCCATTTCTTAGCAAAAAAACTCTTCATTTTTGTTTTATCTCTGTTTATATAAACTAAGAATTGAAGAGCCTATCTTAGCATGATAAAAAAAATTATATCATTGATACAGTTTGGCTCTGTGTCCCCACCCAAATCTCATATCCAGTTGTAATTCCCAATGTTGGGAGAGGGACTGGAGTGGAGGTGATGGGATCATGGGGTTTGGTTTTCCCTCTTGCTGTTCTCATGACAGTTTGTGAGTTCTCACGGGATATATTTGTTTAAAGGTGTGTAGCACTCCGCTCTTCATTCTTTCTGTTTCCTGCTGCCATATGAACATGTGCTTGCTTCCTCTTTACCCTGCCATCATTATTGTAAGTTTCCTGATGCCTCCCCAATCATGCTTCCTGTGCAGCCTGCAGAACTGCGAGACAATTAAACCTCTTTTCTTCATAAATTATGCAGTCTCGGGTCATTCTTTATAGCAGTGTGAGAACTAACTAATATAATCATACTAACAAATAATATCATATACAATAGTAAAGTGCTCAGGGAATTCCCATTTAACACAGGAGAACTGATATACCAGGTCCCATAATATGATTTAGTTTTTATCTGGAAGTGTAGCTATTGCAACATGATAAAATTTACTTTTCTCCATTGAATGAAAAGAAGAGGCTAATATACAAATATATAGAGATTAGATTATTAACAAAATATTTAAGAATGCAGGCCGGGCGCAGTGGCTCATGCCTGTAATCCCAGCACTTTGGGAGGCTGAGGAGGGCAGATCACGAGGTCAGGAGACCGAGACCATCCTGGCTAACACAGTGAAACCCCGTCTCTACTAAAAATACAAAAAATTAGCTGGGCATGCTGGCAGGTGCCTGTAGTCCCAGCTACTTGGGAGGCTGAGGCAGGAGAATGGCATGAACCCAGGAGGCGGAGCTTGCAGTGAGCCAAGATCGTGCCACTGCACTCCAGCCTGGGCAACAGAGCAAGACTCCGTCTCAGAAAAAAAAAAGAATGCAAATAATTGCAAAATAAATACCTGAAAGCAATTACATTCATATGCACCATAAATGATTATAAAAATATAATAGGAGAATATAAGTTTAAAAAGTCTTTAAATATTTATCAATTCCCCCATTGAATATATTGTTTTCCGATACTTTGTTATTTCCAACAGAAATATCATGAACATATTTGAACATATGCAATAGTATATATGTTTATATTTCCATCCTTTTATAACAATCTTTCAAAGTTAGTTTTATTGTATGGATGGCACTTTTGAATAGCATGTGGCTGGATTTATTTTATTTTTCTAATATCATTTTATGATAGAATTGATAGCAAATAATTTAGTAACTATCTCTGTGATTATTGTTATCTTAGGGCAATTTATATCATATTATTTTTGTATTCATAACTGTTTATTGTGTCTTTCTTATTTTCTGCCTTTTATTCAATTGGCTATATTTTTGTTTGGTTTTTCCTCTACCTGTTTGAAAGATATACATATGCTTTCTTCCATTGTTGTAGCTACATTTAAATACTTAACACAAATACTCAAAACAGTGAAAAGCTAATTTATCTTTCTTGCCTCCTTTGTTTACAAGAACTTTAGAATTCTTTAAGAACATTCTCCCCCAGATTTCACCTTCTCTATAATTGCTTGGTATTTCAGTTATAATAGTTTCTTTACCTTCTAACTTAGCACTATTATTTACAGTCAATGCTTATGTCAATGCATTCACATTTACTGTTTCTTTCATCTTATTCTTTTTTTGTAATTCAATATACTTCTTTTTGAAGCACATTTTTAGTAGCTCTTACAGTGAGAACTGCCAGAAGTAAATTCTCCCAATTTTTGCTATGAAATTTCCTTATTTCACCATGACTCTTAATTTTTATCTTCATTTGAAATGCTAGACAATCAGTTATTTTTCTTCATTATTATAAGGATGTTTTTCCTAGTGTTTTGAACCTGCCATTATTGGTAAAGTATTTTTTGTAAGTTCATTTACTTTTGCTTTGTAAATAAGTTTTCTTTCAGGAAACATAATTCTTTTTATTTTTAGTATTATGTGATTTTATTATAATTCAACCAGGTGTGGGTGTTCTATTCACCCTATTTAAGACTTGGAGGATTCAGTCAATCTGAAAAAATCAGACTTTCATGTGGAAGGCTCTTGTATCTGTTCGAACCCTGAGAGCACACACCAATAAACAACACAAGGCTGTGTGGAGCAACATGCTGTTTTAATAAGTGCCTGGGTGCAGGCCGGCTGAGGCCTAAAACGGTGTCAGCACCAAATGAGGATGGGGCAGAGGTTTTATAGTCTTTTGTAAGCAGAAGTGTCTCAGTCTGATGTAACTGCTACATGGTACCCAGATGGCCTCTCTCTTGATCTTCAGGGGGTACACGTCTTCCATCCAGCTCTCTTCCTGCTTCTGCTATCTTGCTGACACACGCTGCTGGTGCAAGTGGCCTTGTGCCTTGGGACTGGGCCTGAGAAGGTAGGAGTTATTCATTCCCTTAACCTTTCAGGCCCCAGGGAGAATCTTTCATCATGAAGATGAGAAATGTCTGAGTACTAAATTTTGCCTTCTCATTCTCCCTCTTCTTTCATTTGAAACACCCTTACTTCATCTATTACTCCATATATCCTAAAACCTCTTTCCCATGTCCTTACCATTCTGTATGACCACAGATGATTTCCTGCCCTCTGTCTTCCAATTAAGATATTCACTCTTTAACTATATCAAATTTCATCATAAATCAAAGAGGAATTATTATTTTTATTTCAATCATTTTGTGTTTTGTCTTTTAGAAATGTGTTTGGCTGTTTTTCAACAGTGTCTCTACCTATACCATACTGTATTGTTTTTAGAACATTTATTATTTTTTATCATCTAAACATTTTTAAATCCACTTATTTTAAATTCACTTTTGAATTAATTATATCCAGTTATCTTCTATTTGGTATGCTTGCTTTCTCTCTCTCTCTCTGTCTCTCTCTTCTCTGTCAATTTTTGACTTCATGCATGCTTTATAATTTTTAAAATTTAAAGTTCATCTGCATCAGGAGCTATATTCTGTGAAAGTTCTGTTTTTCCTGGGTTATAAGAATGTCATTTCAGGAATAGTCAACTCGAATAGACCTTTTCATTGAACTACTTTGGGGTGTGGATGGTGGATTGTGAACTCTGACTTCACTGAAGGGAAGAAACCTGAGATGATGATTCCTTTTGGGTCACTCTTTCTGCTCATGACCTCAGGCAGGCTGTAAGATTTTGAACCATCTTTCCTGGGTTTTAGGAGTTTGTATAGTTTCAATTTTATAAATGGGTCAGACCTTATGAATCTTGGTTTTATGCAGCAATTCATTTCTAATTCTCAGCACAAAAAGTCTCCTTCACTTACAGTGGTAGAGTCCAAGGCTCCAGCCAGTAATAATGCCCACGAGCCCCTGGGCATCAGCTTCCACTCACACTCCTATGTTAATGTCCCTCTTTATTTGGAGATTTTTTTTTCTTGTTTATATTTTGAGCTCAACTATATATTTAATGTGTATTTGTTATATTTTAAATGGCATTTCTGTGTGTTTGAAATAAGAAAGATGATTTTCTGGATCAGTTCAGTCCAGCCATTTAATAGAAATCAACTTCATATTTACATGAAATATTCTAATTGTCAATTTAAGCTTCAGTCATCCATGAAGAATGATTTCCTTGAGGGCAAGGGCTATATGGTATTGATCTGTGTTTCTATTTGTTGAATGGATAAACATATCACGTATGTCCTCATCTTACTTTTGCTATTTTCTGGTGTTTCTAAATTTGGCTGGCAGCTGATCATTTTTGCAACATTTAGTTGCTACAACACAAACATATGAAAACCACAGTGACCTTTAGTGTTTGGTGGGTTTAATGAAGCTTTGTCTGAATGATGGTTTGAAATCCAGATGTAGAAAGCAGACTTTCCTAGTCACTGATATTAGGAGGAAATGAAAACAGAAGCATAATCATAATGTATGTCTTTAGTAAAGCTGCCGCCTGGGATTAGAGGTAGGCTTTTTTTTATTGAAAATGTTAAATAGTTGCTTCAAAAGTTCAATGAATCAATTAACATTTCTTCTTTGTATTTAGGTCTGCATTTTTGGGGAGAAGAAAGTTGAAAGTATTTTGCATATATCCTATTCTTTGCAAGAAAACACAGGTTTTCATTCTTAAAACAAAATGGAGCAATATAATTTTATTAAATATTTTCAGAAAGCCTCAATCAAGTAGAATAATATTGTTTTACTTTGTCAACTCTATTAGACATTTCTATGTTTGTGGTTACCTATAAGAACTCCTACAAAGGTTCAGAAGATATAGGCCTAATTATCCTTTGGTTATAGCATGTGGCTAGATCATGATTACGTCCATTTAGAAGATAAGTAGCAATATAGTTTTGTGCTTTTTCCAGGACGATGATGAAATAAGTACAATTTTCAGGTAACTACCCCCTTTAATTCTACTGTAAGAATTAAATTAGAATTTCTCATTCTTGTCTTAATCCATACCCCTTGCAATGCCTTCTCAGTTGCCTGCATGTTCCAATCAGCCAAGAAGATGTCATAGAGCATTTTTTCTATAGCCTGTTTAAGAAGGTGAGTACATTGAAAATGATTTTTTGAATTATACCTCTGCCTCTCAGAATATTTTTCACAGAACTAACAGCTTTAAAATAAATACGGTTGACCTTATAGTGGAATATGACCCACCATAAACAAAATTTTAGTTTGTATTCATTAGTGAAATTTCTTTCAACAAGAATGGATAAAACTCCAGATCTCAACAGGCTATTCTAAATTTCTACTCTAACTAGACAAGAATGAATCTCTTCTGAGATTGGCAAATGGTCAGCAAGATAAAATCCAGTCCATGGATTGTTTTGTTAATAAAGATTTATTGGAACACAGATATGCCTATTTGTTTCTGTTATAACTAGGGCCACTTTCTGGCTATATTAGTGGACTTGAGAAGTTGCAAATGTTGCAGCAGAGACTGTATGATCCACAAAGAGGGAAATATATACTATCTGGCTCTTTACAGAAAAAGTTTTCAGACTCCTACTTTAATTCACTTAGGGCTGCATTGGGGTCAAATTTCTTAAATTAATTAACGCATAAGAGACTCTTCCACTGGCACAGCTTTGTAATTCTAGAGCCAATATTAGCAAACTATTTGAACAGATGTGGTGATAGTATTATTGTTCAAAATATTTGCTGTACCTTTCGAGGAGGACGATTACATTTTCTGGCTTCTTTAACATCAACCCTGGTCATATAACTTCTTTGTCCAATGAACTGTGAATTGAATAATGTGTTTCACATCCAAGAAGAAGCTTTAAAATCCAATGCTTGGCTTACCATGCACCTTTTTTCATCTGCAAGGAGACTGGTGATGTCAGAGATTGTTCTGTCAGACTGAACCCCCAATGACAGTAACATGGAATAGAGCATGCAGAAGACCCACAGTAAACATCAGCATGGATGAGAAATAAACCTTTATTATGTGAATACCACTGAGACTTTGGGGTGTTACTATACAATAACTCTACTAGAGTTGACTCTAATAACAAATTCTTAGAAAGAAGATGTTTTAATTGGTTCCTTGAGACAACAGAAAGCTACAGAGGTCAAATATGCAAATCAGCACCAAATAAATGAATGGATTTTTTAAAGTCTGAACCTAAATTAAAAACAATTTAAAACTCTCTTTTCAATAAGCCATTTTCACATCTACTAAACAGTATCAGGATAAATTAAACAGAGAACACAACTTTAAACCTGTATAACATAATCTGAAATAAAATTAAGTCACTATGCTTCAGCAATGCAAAGTTAAAGATAAACCTAACTTTTCACATGTCTATTATACATATGCAATAAAGAAATAGATGTTTAGTGTTGTTATTTGACTAGCCAGATAGGTGTCTATTTTATTCCTCACTTATTCATATACTTGCATCTAAAAGAAATTTAAACTAATTTTAGAAATATCATAAATGTAGAACAGAAACATCCCTGGACTGATTGTCATAACTGACTTCAAAACTTTAAAAGTGAAAAACTAAAATATCAAATAAACATATGAAAAGTCTATATGTAATAGATATGTGAATTAATTAATGAGAAGATACCTATTTCTCCTAAAGGATAGGATATAATCTTAATGCTTAATATCAACAAACATAGAGAAAAACATGTACCTGGCCAACCCCCCGCCACCCACCAGACATTGCTGGTGAAATGGTAAAATGGTAGAATCTTTCTGAGAGGCCATATGATGTTTTGTATCAAAGATTATTATAATATTCATTACATTTGATCAAACAACTCTACAACTAGAAATTTATCTTAAGGAAATAAGCATATGTGAAAATATTAATTTGCAAAAGAGTCATCTGATCACAATTGATAATAAAAACTTGAAAATAACATATGATTTAAAATGTGGAATTGGTTAAATCATCATGTCAGATCTTTTCATGGAATTTTATTTAGCAACTACAAGTGAGGTAATAGAAAAATAATAAAGTGGAAATAAGATCACATGAGATTATTAAACAAAACAATATACAACAAGATAAAAATCATTATACGTAGTATGATTACATATTAGCATAGGAAATACTCTAGAAGATATGTACAAAAGAGTGACTAATGACTAACTGTGAATTGTTAGATTAAGGATGATATTTAATTCCTTTTTCTTCTCTTTATTTTCTAATTTGTCCTTAATGCACAAATTTCTTTAGGTGAATAAATACAATATAAACTAGTAAAAAACAACAAAAGTAATTAACAGTGTAGTGGAGAAAATACATGTTACATATCATATATAAAATATAATTTCTTTGTATATATGTAATTTTTCTGTTTATACATAATTACTTCCATATACATACATACGCATATGTGCACATATTTGTATCCCCCAAAATATTTCCAGAAAGATTGCAAATTTTATATATATAAATCTGTCATAAGAAAGGCAGTATGCTTATACTAATAGAAAAATAATATTTAGCATATCAAATTAGAATGTATTTAAATATACATATTTTAACTTTTATTTTAGGTTTAGGGGTACATGTGCAGGTTTGTTTTATGAGTAAATTATGTTTCATGGGGGTTTGTTGTACAGATTATTTCATGACCCAAATGATAAGCATAGTACCCAATAGGTAGTTTTCTGATCCTCAACCTCCTCCCTCCATCCACTCTCAAGTAGGCCGCAGTGTTTTTTGTTCTCTTCTTGTGCTCATATGTAGTCGATGTTTAGCTCCCACTTATAAGTGAGAACATGCAGTATTTGGTTTTCTGTTCCTGTGTTAGCTCACTTAGGATAATAATGGCCTGGTCCAGCTTCATCCACGTTGCTGCAAAGGACATGATCTTGTTCTTTTTTATGGCTGTGTATTATTCTTTGGTGTACATGTAACACATTTTCTTTGTCCAGTCCACTGTTGATGGGCATTTAGGCTGATTCCACATCTTTGCTATTATGAATAGTTCTGTGAGGAATATATGCATGCATGTGTCTTTATGGCAGAATGATTTATATTTCTCTGGGTATGTAACCAATAACGAGATTGCTGGAACCAATGGTAATTCTGCTTTGAGTTCTTTGAGAAATTGTAAACCGCTTTCCATAGCGACTAAACTAATTTACATTCCCACCAACAGTGTATAAGCATTCCCTTTTCTCTGCAGCCTTGCCAACATCTGTTTGTTTTTTTTTTTACTTTTTAATAGTAGCCATTCTGACTGGTGTGAGATAGTATCTCATTGTGGTTTTGATTTGCATTTCTGTAATGATTAGTGATGTTGAGGATTTTTTTATATGCTTGTTGGCCATATTATTTAAATATCTTAAGGTAAACAAAAAACCATAGAAATTTTCTCTAAACTAGGGAAAGTTATATATAATCATATAAATTACATAATTTTAACGTCCTTTGAATATGCTAATTTTTTATAACAATTAAAATTATCCAGGAAAATATTGATGTGTCCAAATTTGTATTTTTATAATTTAAAATAAATTACATTAACTTTTTTCCTTTAAAAGCTTTTCTTAAAAATTTTTTTCTTAAAATTATATTACCTTTATCGAGGTATGATTGACACACAGAAGGCTGGACATATTTAATATATACATCTTAGTGAGTTTCGAAATTTGCATACACCCCTGAAACCAACTTTACAGTCTGTGCCATAAACCTATCCAATATCTCCAAAAGTTTTTTCCTGCCCTGTTTATTTATTTATTTATTATTACTTGTGGTAACACTTAACATAAGAACTACCCTTTTACCAACTTTTTAAATCTATAATACAATATTGTTAATGACTGACAATATGCTGTACAGTAGATCTCTAAGACTTCTTCATCTTGTGTAGTGAAGCTCAATTCCGACTATTTCAGTACTTTGTTCAAAAATCCCCAATGGCTCTCCATTAAATACTGACAAACCCAAATGTCTTCGCCTACTATTCAATATTTCCCAAATTATTTTTCCATCTTTAATCCCCATGACTTCCTTTTATGCGCCCCAGTTCCGAGTAACAGCAAAGTATTGCTTCCTATACATTCCCTTTGAATTTTTATTGCTTTGTTATTTTTACAGATTTTCATAGAAAAAGAGGGAAATCAGTACAAGTACAGATTTCTTGTATGTGTCTACTGCCTAGCAGTGAAGTCTGGGCTTTTAGTATACCCATCAGACAAATGGTGAATCTTATACACCAATCAGTAATTTTCACTTATGTCAAACGTATCATGGTTAAAAATCAAGTAAAACATATTTGTACTACATTTAATAAATCTATTTTTAAGAAAACCCTTTTTGACATAGGACAGAACTAGGCAGTTCAGAAAAGATAAAATGTAACAAATAGAAAAATGTTCAACTCAGAAAAGAAGCATAAATTTAGATAGAGAATTATAAATATATTAAAGCAGCAACACGGATGATGGAAATCAATAAAAAGCAGGTTGCAAAAAGCTAGCAGGAGAATTCACGTCTGTGTATATTATGAAGCAACCTTTCTAAAAGACAAATTTGGCACTATGTATCAACAGCTATGTCTACATAATATACCTACACCTAGCAATAAACAATATGGATTTTAAAAACACTTTAATATTTTCCATATGAAAATAATATATGTATGCATTATCAAATATTGACAATAACGAGTAAAGTAATGAAAATAAGGAAAAGCATCTGTAACCGCATGTCTGAGGTGTATTTATCACTGCCAATCTGTTAATAATATGATGTTTTTCCTTCCATCTATTCATGTG
Source organism: Homo sapiens (assembly GCF_000001405.40). Lineage (NCBI taxonomy): Eukaryota > Metazoa > Chordata > Mammalia > Primates > Hominidae > Homo > Homo sapiens. The sequence goes on from NC_000002.12 coordinate 22,426,910, forward strand.
TCTTCTTGCTCTTTCTATTTATCCCCAGACTCTTCTCCCTTCCCTCCCTTTCTCTTACCTAGCCTTATTTATATAGTATCAGGTTATGAGCATTCATCTTTTTGTCTTTGGATTTCATCATACAGAAGCATTGCAACATTTAACCATTCCAGTAATGCTTAACTCTGTTTTCTCCAAATTTTACTAACTATAAATTACCAGCCAGTTAAATTTTTGTACATACATCTTTATTCATATCTATGTTTCCCAATAATAAGTTTTTAAAAGTGGAAATGCTGTATCAAATGGTCTAAATACATATTAATACCAAAACAGGTATAGATATAAATACATACAAAGATAAATACATATAATGTAGCTATAAGATGTATCAATAGAAAATGTAACAAGGTAAAAAGAGTCCCTCCATTCCCCATCCCCTTCCCTTGTTTCTCCATTACTTGATCATGCTACCCAGAGACAACTGATTTGGATAGGTCTTGTGTATTACATTATCAGAAATGTCACACACATACGCATGCATGCACACAAAGGATGATACAAAATTAATCTGTGACATGTTTTCTGATTGTAAAATGTGTCTATTTTGTTCTTTTTCCTGATTTCATGATTATAGAACATATGGTTTAGGATGATCCTCCTTAATATATCCCACCTGCCTGCCGAAGGGTACATTTTTAACTTTCCCTACCATGTCCTCCCAAGATTTTCACCGATGCAATTACATCTTTGAGTTGCCAAGAAAAAGAGTATGAATATCTCCTAGTACTTGCCAATTTTTTTCCACCAAGGTTGCCCAAATGAGAAAATGAAGACAATCTTCAGAGATTCACTAGGACTCAGAGGACCCAGCATGCAGTTGTGCTCCTGCTAGCTTTTTGCAACCTGCTTTTTATTGATTTCCATCATCCGTGTTGCTGCTTTAATATATTTATAATTCTCTATCTAAATTTATGCTTCTTTTCTGAGTTGAACATTTTTACGTTCACATAGTGAGGGCACACAGTTGGAAACTGAGGACAAAGACACAGGTAGAGTCTGGAGAGATTCACGCACAGGCTTCCTCTTTGGCCTATTATTTATACGTTTTGTGTTTAACTAACATTTTTGTTTGGTTAAATATATGTGTGTATGTGTACGCACTCCTAAGCATTTAAAAAGAAGAAGTTTTTCATTTTGTTGTTTTTTTAAATCTTCTATTCATTTTTTAGAGGTAGATATTTCAACAATTAAACATTCTTTATATTTACAACCTCTTATATTATTATTCTTATCAATTTTAGGAATTTAAGGTAATACATAATTTTCTATATTCTAAACTAATAATGGTTTTAGGACCTGCCATCAATTTAATACATCTTGTTTATAATATGTAACAAGCATATTAAATACAGAGATTTTAAAACAACTTCCTGATTTTAGAGTAGTTAAGATATTTAAAAATACTTACTTTAGGATTGTTTATGGTCACTGATATGATGAAAACAGAATGACATTCACCAAAATATTTACAGCAGAATTATTTAAAATACCAAACTGATATTTAAATAAATGCCTCAAATTAGAGAAACACCTAAGTAAGGTATAGTGAGTCTAAATCTTATGCAGCAATATAAAATAATTATTAACATATAATTATAAGGAGAATATGAAAAATCATGGAATGAATGAGAATAATAAAGAATTTAACTATACTACAGATAAAACTCTCTAAAAGCATGCTTGCATACAGATAAACACTGGAAGGATATACAGGAAAAAAATTGTAAAAGCACTTTAAAAGGTACTAGTAATAAGTTTGGAGGGAATTCTACTACTTTTTGTTTTCATACCCTTCAACCAAATTTTGTTCTAAGGCTATTTAGCAATAAATAGATATAAAGAAAAATGTTAGCAACTTCAGAGATATAAAAGCAAGCAGCAAAGGCAGTCTTATTTTATCTCCCTCTTTATTCTATCTAGGGCTGAGAAAAGGACAGGAGAAGAAACTGGGTGCAGAATTGGTTTTTCCCTCTTCTTCCTACCTGAGCCATCCAGACAGCACAGCTGCCCCACAGGTAGGTCTCAACTAAGCTGTGTACATGTGGTTGAGGGCACCATAGAACACAGGAGCTTTGTAGAGCAGATCAAGTCCTTGATTCACTTGAAATAATATTACTCTTCTCTTTCAGTGATCTTCTCTGTTAATAAGAACCTTTAAGCTAATGACTGAAGGCAAATATAAAGAAGTTTTTGGGAATGGGCTGTAATTGTCTTTGTTATCCAGGAAGCAATTATTTCCCATAGTTGGCTTTCTCCAGAATCACTGATATTACTACTTTCTTTCTCTGGTATCTCACTTTCTTTCTATTTTATATTGCTATGCTTTGCATTTCTAATACATTTCATATCTTTGAGGAAAGGCTTATGTCTTTTTCTTTTTAATCTGCTATGTGCTTTTCAAAGTTTGGTTTATAGTAGATACATAAATTATGTATATAGTGGAATATAAATACAGATATTGCATTGAATCAAATTTCATTGTGTCATCTCTTAACAAGCATTTCTATTTTTTAATGGTCCCTTAACTTCCCCCAAATAACCCATTTTAAGGTGGAGCTTGAATCAAATAGTTCATTTAAAAATGCCTATAGAGTAATGCTATTATTTTTTAAAAATTTGCAGTGATACTGAAAGAAGAATGTCTCAACAATGTCAGCTTCCCACCAACACCTCAGTGTCTGCCCACTCTTTTCTTGTTGACCTGTTTCCTGGCCTGCAGGCATTCTTATTTAATGTACACCATATTGACAAATTCATCACTTTCCCACTGACGTCCTCACTGTTGAAATCTTATTTTCCTCATTTGCCCCATCTTGTTTTTACTCAAACAATTATATGCAAAATTCAACCTATACTCTTTAGATTAACCCCTACCCAACCCCTACTCACACACAGACACATTTGGTTTTCCACATCAATTTTTAAAAAATCAAATATAATATAAAAATATATTTTGGGGGATCTGGATTATTTCTGCATTTTTCAATACCTTTTAAACATGATTACACACGTTAAATATATATGAGTTTTACTTTGCCAAAGTATATTTTTCAAAAAGCTAAAACAACAAATTATATACAAATATAAAGTGAGCACATGTCAAAGTTTTTTTAGTTCATTAATGATGAAACCACCAAAATACTAAAGCTGGTCCCAAAAGTACTGGAGATATGTATAGTGGCTACGAGAAAAACAAGATTTCCAGTTCAGGTACAAAATAGCTTAATGTTCATAAAGGACAATAAAACTATAATCTTTGGTCAAAATTATTTGTGTCTTGCACACAACATTCATTTCTATTGCTATTTGATGAGAATCATCTATATTGCTATCCATTTTCTGAGAGCTAACATTTACCCTTGGAAAGTTATAAGGTTTATTATCCTGAATAATAGTAAATTAGCAAGTCAAGTAAGACAGGAGAATTAAGTAATCCCTTGGCCAGGCTTCTACACAATGTCTTAGAGGATATGGAAAAGAATCAGTAATCCGGCTGGGCACAGTGGCTCACGCCTATAATGCCAGCACTTTGGGAGGCCAAGGCGGGCAGATCACCTGAGGTCAGGAGTTCGAGACCAGGCTGGCCAATATGGTGAAGCCCTGTCTGTACTAAAAGTACAAAAAATTAGCCGGCTGTGGTGGTGCACGCCTGTAATCACAGTTACTTGGGAGGCTGAGGCAGGAGAATCACTTGAACCCAAGAAGTGGAGGTCACTCCACTGCATTCCAGTCTGGGCAACAGAGTGAGACTCCGCCTCAAAAAAAAAAAAAAGACTCAGTAATCCTACGTTTTGGAAAATTTTTCTTAATAGTGCAAATTTCTGAATAATGATCAATTCTTCACCAATATAATAATCTACCTGTAAACATGCCCACATTTGGTACAAAAAGAATGGTGTTTTCATGCCTGACTAGAATTAAAGTATCTCAAAGTTCAGGGCCTTTTAGCCTTCATCCAGGCAGCCAATCAGAATGGCAAGGACTATTTCAAGTAAATATCCCTCCTCCAAGAAACACTTAATTGAATACCTGCTATGTGTCAAGTGTTGTGTTGTACGGAAAAATATTCAATTCTTCTTCTTCAGAGCTGAGAGCTTAGTTAGAAAAGAGATGTACAATGAATTATGGTAGAGTCTAACGTATTTGCAAGATGCCATGGGCCTCTTGGGGTACAGCACCTGATGTAAGCCTTCGGAGTGAAATCTGCCTGAATTTTACCACTGAATATGTTGTTTATTGACTGATGAAATAACCAAAATACCTTTTATACCTCAATCCAAGCTTGAAAATTTTTTAAAAATTGTATGACACAATTCTCCGACTTTTTATAACCTGAGGTTATAAAAAGAACTTAAACTGATGAGATAACTCTGGGTCATTATGCAAAATACAGAATACTATGCTGCACTGTCACTCAGCAATGACCCAGAAAGCAATGAGTCATAAAGGATATATTTATCTTTATAATAAATAACCCCAACCTGCTATATTTTTAAATTATTGTAACTGACTAATATGATTTTATATCTCTTGCAGTTCTGTTCAATATCACTTTGATATGTACAGCAAAAATATTCATCACAGTTATGTGGTATTTTGTTCAAAATGACGTAAATATGTGTCCATTGGACTTTTTTTTATGTCTTGATAAAATTAGGTTAGGTCACAATACGAAGGATAAATTGTTCTTTATTTTTGTCTTCCCATCTGAAAAATGGGCGGACTGCAAGACAATAATGATAGGGTACTAAACTATTACAGAGCCTCAAGGAAGTTCAAAGAATCTTATGTAAGACATTGTGATGCAAGAGCAGTGTTATTTTAGCTCTGTAAGGGATAATTGTATAGTTAATCTTCTATATTACATTGAAAAACTTTCAACACTTCATTGTGTTCAATTATACTCCTGATTACTCAGATGGAAAAAATTGGGGAAAGTTTGGAGATGCTTAACTGTGAGTTGCTGATGAAGTGTTTTCTCACTGCCCTTGTCTCCTAAAAGGGCAGGATTTGGGTTTTGGGTCCTCTGTGGATTTTAGTTATCATTTTAGCCCATGGTAGCAGCCTTCATCAAAGATTCAAGGGCCAGTTTTAATTAAGAAAGGTTAATGACAGGTGGGGCTCACGCCTGTCATCCCAGCAATTTAAGAGGCCGAGGCAGGTGTATCACCTGAGGTCAGGAGTTCAAGACCAGCCTGGCCAACATGTTGAAACCCCATCTTCACTAAGAACACAAAATTAGCTGAGCATGGTAGTGCATGGCTGTAATCCCAGCTACTCGGGAGGCTGAGGCAGGAGAATCACCTGAACCTGGGAGGCAGAGGTTGCAGTGAGCCAAGACAGTGTCACTGCACTCCAGCCTGGGCAACCAAGTGAGACTCCATCTAAAAAGAAAAAAAAGATTGCCGATGATCTCCAAAGAGCTTCCTTTCATTCCAGATATCACTTGCAGCAGAGGCATCACCAGGCTACCTTAGGCAAGCATAATGGACAACCACATTTTCAATCTTCTCTGCACCCCTTTTTGTTTGTTCCTTCCCTCAAAAATTATACCCTAGAAATCTACAGTTCCCATGTTCTTTAAAGAGCAGTGGTTTTTCTGGAGAAGAATATGCCAAACAGAATTGCACTTCCTGAACCACATTTCTCTTTGTCTTCCATGATATAACTGGAGATGAACTCATTTAGAAAAAAAAAAAATACCACATAGTTGGTACTGAAAGTGACACAGTGTGATCTGGAATGCAAATACAAGCTTTTGGTCCATGATCTGAATTTCTGCCTGTCAAGTAGGGAGCAGATTCAAGATGTTTGCGTTTGCTTTCTTTCTCAGAGAGATAAAGGAATACTCAAGAGCAAGGGGAAAATATAGGCCTTTGATTTATTCAATTCATTATTACTTTTTGTCAAACATGTAGATAGAGAAAGTTCTTGTCATCACTGAATTTATAAGTCAGCAAGAAGGATCGACATTGGGCAAGGTTAGTTAATGCAATTGGTGCTTTGTAGGAGATGTACCAAGGATATGGGTACGTAGACAATGAGGGCTTAGCATGGCCTTAGAAAAAGGAAATGATGTGTTAGCTGAGACACAAACATGAATTAGACAGTGAGTAAGGCGGGTGTCTCTCTAGGCAGAGAAAACAGCACATGCCAAATTACAGAGAGTATATCAGTTAAGTGGCATTTTTGGAAATTCTGAGAGAAAACACATGAGGACATTGTCAAGAGAACAGTTCCAGGGAATTCCACAACTGAGTGTGGGTTGGTGGGTGAGAAGGAGGGCACTCCTAGGGACTAGGATAAGCCAAGATAAATCCTAGGAAGAGCCTATGGCATAAGCCACAGCGAACCTCCTACTGAGTCAGGCAGCTCAAAGCACAGAGCTGTCCATCAGGAGTAGGGTCAGCAAGAGAATCATCCCTGACAGCCTTCTTCCTGCCATGTGCTCCTTCTGAAGTCCTGGGCTGGGACTCCAGGTCTCTTCTCAATGCTTCTTGAAGTGACAGGAGCCTAGGGCAAGCCATGGGAGTGGTGGCTGACATGTATATGTTATGCTTTAGTTACCTGTCACATATTTTTAAAAAATGAATTGTTTCTAAAGGCAGGATAGGTATTTTGTCTATAAGCATATAGTCAATGTCAAAAAATATTTAATTAAATCACGTATTTCAAAAGCCTCACTCTTGCTCCATTAGATGTATAGGTAATTTTAGATAGCAAATTCAAATACGTTTATCAACCCACTTTTCTATCAGCAACTTCCTAACAAACATTTGGATGAAAAATCAACACACTGAGAAGTCAACAGATATTTTTTTGTTTCTCTGAGGCAAAAATCTTTAGTGATTCACTATCCTTTTCTACTTCCTCTTTTTTCTTTCCTCAGCACACATCTCTCCTTTTAATTTTCATCCCCATAGATTACAAAATCTTGCAGAAAATTAGGTCACTATATGCCTCACCCAAAGGGAAACTCCGAAAATGTAGAAAAGAAAATTAGTTCACCTTCAAGAAGTAATTTTAACTTCACTCTAAAATAAAAACTCAGAAATTTATATTGACAAAAGAAAGTTGAGCTTTCTCTCCTCTCAGTTTTTTCCTCTATTTTCCCATGTTTCAGGACAGAGGCTGCTGCCACAGAGCCTGTTCTTTGGATTCTGGAAGACACGGTGTAGAATGTAATGCTAGGGGTTTGCAAGAATATTACTGACATCTTCCCAAATGAAACCTTCGCCCTTTATTTTAATCATTGTTGCCTCTGTATCTGAAGCATCTAGAAGAATGAACGGTACGGAGCAGACACTCAAGCAGTATTGGCTGAATAAATAATTGACTGACGCCTTATCAAATCAATACCTACTAACTTTAGAAATTTTGGAAAATACATGTGTGCATGCACATGTGCAATATTACCATCCTGATTATCACCGTTAACATTTCAGCGAAATATTTTTGGAAGATTCCATACTAACGTTGTTGAATCTCCTAAAGAGATCATGATGATTGAATCCTGGAAAAGTTAATCAAGGCAGTCAAGAGGGCCAGGGACAGGCAAAAAACTGATTTGAAAGAGAAGCTGAGAGGAAACTTTAGGATGAATCTTTTCAAATAAGTTCAAGCAGGCCAATAGAATCATTTACTCCAGAAAATCTCACTAAGGTGCCTTCAGGAACACAGTATGAAGGAAAAGAAGATTGTGTCTGACTGTATGAAAAAAAAAAAGCTATAGGTCTTGAAGTTTCTGTTTATGGCAGATAATATATAGCACTTGACCTCTCTCACCCTGTAATCTATGAATCTCTATTATTTCCCTTGATATGTACCAGCCTCAAATTTGATTCTACTTTGACTGGCAGTGAGAGTTGTTCACACTCCAATATTTACAGAAAACATCAATTTCCAGAAGCCTAGATATTTATGAATTATATTAGAATTATTTGTGTGATATACAGCAAATGTATTGCTGACCTAGTTAGAATTCTTTCAAAAGTGCTTTGTTAGTGCATTTGAGAAGCTTAATGTGCAGGGTGGCCTGTTTAGAGTAGGTTCCAATTAATTCATCATGTCCAGCTATAGTGACAGCTACTTTAAGTTTTGGGCCAAGAACAAGTTTATTCAATCCCAAATCTGTACATCCATTCTGCCTAGAAGGTAACCTCATTGCACGTCACCTAGCAGTGGCCACAACCCCCTGGGCTGAGCAGATTTCTTCCCCTTCTCCAACAACCTCCCTTTGCTCAGCACATGTCTGTATTCTCATTCCTGATCATCGCTGATCTACTCGAAACCTTATTTCAAAGTCCCTAATCCTGGCCAGGAGTGATGGCTTATGCCTGTAATCCCAGCATTTTGGGAGGCCGAGGTGAACAGATCACTTGAGGCCAGGAGTTCGAGACCAGCCTGGCCAACATGGTGAAAACCCGTCTCTACTAAAAATACAAAAATTAGCCAGGCATTATGGTACATACCTGTAATCCCAGCTACTTGAGAGGTTGAGGCAGGTGAATTGCTTGAACCCGAGAAGTGGAGGTTACGGTGAGCAGAGATCATGCCACTGCACTCTAGCCTGGGCAACAGAGCAAAACTCTGTCTCAAAAAACAAACAAACAAAAACAAAAACAAAACAACCTGATATTTTCTTTGTTCATTATGATCCCATCCATTTTCCAATTAGGGAGTTTCCAAAATTATAACTTCTCAAATTATTGTGCTTTGACTAACCAGTAAATAAATCTCTAAGCAAAAGAATGGCTTAAGAAAATATGTGTGCTAGGACAGGAAAGTGCCTGGCCACAGAGCCAAAGCTCAAAAATATTAAAACAATAAAGAAGAAAAATAGAAGATCAAATCCACATCAGTAATTCATTCAACAAATATTAATTGAAGGCTTACTATATGCCAGATACTTGGGTCAGGGCTGATGGTGAGCAAAACAGATGGAATCCCTGCTCTGAGGAATCTCACAGTCTACGGTGGACAGAAATATCAGTCAAGTAACTGAAAGAGAAATGTAAAATGGCAAAATGTACAACAGTTTAGATGTGTTACTAGTATGACAGTATTTGATTATAAGATGTGATATAGCCATAAAATATTGTTAAAGGAGTAGCATGTATTAAGGCTATGGGAAGAGGGGAGCAGCATTGTGTGTTTGAACAAAGGAAGGAAGGCTGGTGTGGTTGGAACTGAGAGAGATTAGCTTAGAGAGGAAAATAGGGACCAGACAATTCTGGGGCTTTTAAGACATGTTCAACTACATGCACAGGGAAGCGGATTTACATAGGATCTCAAACTGACATTTAGTCACATGATTTGCCTGCACAATTTGTCCATACATAGTATTGATACTTCTTTTATGTTAGAGATGCTGATGAAAGGAAATGATTGAATGGAAATGGGGTGAGCTAGTCTGTGTATTGAACTTCAACACAAGGTCCTGATATGAGTGCTTCAAACCCAATACCTTGCATTCTTCTTCCCACCTGGTTTCTTTTTATTTTTAAATTTCAACTTTTATTTTAGATACAGCAGGCCCACGTGCAGGCTCATTGCATGGGTATATTGTGTGATGCTGAGGTATAGTGTACTCATCCTATCACTCAGTTAATGAGTATAATACCCATTAGGTAGTTTAGCAATACAATCCCACCTCCCTTCTGCCCCCTCAGTAGTCCCCAGTGTCTATTGTTCCAATAGTTATGTCCATGTGTGCTCAGTATTTAGCCCCCACTTACAAGTGAGAACATGCAGTGCTTGGTTTTCTGTTCTTGCGTTAATTCAGTTAGGATAATGCCCTCCAGCTGCATCCATGTTGCCGCAAAGGACATGATCTCATTCTTTTATGGCTGCATAGTATTCCACGGTGTATATGTACCACATTTTCTTTAAAAAAAAAAATAGTTTTCTGTGAGTGAGTTTAGCATGCAGTGATGCACTGCATCATCTTTTGTTTGTGGTTGCAACAACGTGTCGCTGTACGCTGTCCTGTGGCGTTAGCTAGAGGTGGCCCCTTGAAATTACTTATGTCTCCCAGTTGATAATCACAGTAGAATTAGCTGGAGACATTCACAGAGATGTCCTGTCACATATCTGATTTTCAGGAGGTCTAGAGTTACTGTGGAGGAAAACAGATTTGAAACTTGGTTTTGACTCATGTCTGGAAAAGTATAGAAAAAATGCAATTGGCAGAATTCAGATTTTAAATGTGGCAAGAGCCTGAGGGTATTAGAATTCAAAATTTTGGAGAGAGAGGGTGCTATAGTAAAGCACAAATACTGCATCTTTTAGAGGCCCATCCACTCTGCTTGAGACTCACACTTCAAAGAGGGGTTTGTGGAGGGTATTCTCCATTCGACAGAAAGGTGGAGCTGGAGAAACGTGAGAAATAAAGCAGATTAAGTCAAGGGGTCTTAAAAGTTAGGAAAGTAGGCTGGGCACAGTGGCTCAAGCCTGTAATCCAGTGCTTTGAGAGCCCAAGGCAGGGGAATTGCAAGGTCAGGAGTTCGAGACCAGTCTGACCAACATGGTGAAACCCCATCTCTACTAAAAATACAAAAATTAGCTGGGCGTGGTGGTGCGCACCTGTAATCCCAGCCACTCAGGAGGCTGAGGCAGGAGAATCACTTGGACACTGGAGGCAGATGTTGCAGTGAGCTGAGATTGTACCACTGCACTCCAGCCTGGGCAACAGAGTGAGACTCTGTCTCAAAAAAGAAAAAAAAAAAGAGCAAAAGAGTTAGGAAAGTAATGAGGTTGGCCCAGAAGGACTAGAGAGACCTCAGCAGACAGATCTCTGCAGACAGACAGACTCCCACAGCAAGGGAGGAATGCCAGTGGGAGGGGAAGAAGGAGCAGGACTGAAGGCACAGACTAGAGCTTGGAGGACAAGACAAGGAAACCTGTCCTGTGTTCCTCTGGGTACTCCAAGGTACATGATCTGCTATGTGAGCATAGAAGCTGTTGATCTAGTATATGCAGGAAAAAGTGGACAGTTGTCATCCTCAGAACTTACCTGCTAGTGGGATTTATGGGACAACCCAGTTCTGTTGTGCTAGACTATCTAGCTCTATGCTTGAAACATACATAGATAATATTGTTCATGTGTGCGTATATGTGTGTGCATGTACGTGTGTGTGTGTGCATGGTCAGTTGTACCAGCAAGAGTAATATAATGGTTCAAAGATCCTCATCTTGGAAAATGCCTCATGCTATGAAGTTGAATACTGCATATCACCAGATATCAAAGTCCCATAAGAGGGTAAAATCACCTTTAAATTGAGAACTGAAGTTATATTTGTGGGCCCTCTTCTATCTCCTTGTGAGACATCCTTGTGCTAATCTGGATGCGAAACTTGCGTGATAGGAGAAGACACGCTGAACCGGAAGGTCTGTGCAATGTGGAAGGAGGTGTGCTTTTCATGTCTCTTATACTCATTGAACCATGAGTGCAAAATGGCTTCACCTGTGCCACAGTACTTGGCGGGATCATGATGTCAATTAGGTTTCATGAGACTCTGTAAAGCAAATTTGTTTATTTGCTCACTGAGTTATCCAAAGACAAAAGGAGGACTGTGCCTCCAGCACAATAATTAATTATAAAGTCATCACACATATTTCATTAATGTTGGCTGGCTTCTCAGAAGTCCCTCTCAGAGGGCAGGGGCCATGTGTAAGTATAACTCTATTTAGCATCTACTAAAAAGACACTTTGATTGGAATCTGTGTGATCATAAACTTCTTTACTAGGTTGTGTGTTCCTTGAAGGAAAGGATTTTATCTTTCATTTATTCAATAAATATTTATAACTTTATAAAGTAGTAAAAAATACCAAAAATATCTTCATGCAGCTTATGTTCTGTTTTTTAAAATTTAATTATTTTTAATTGGTAAATAATAATTATATATATTTATGGTGTGCGATTTGTTATATGTATATAATTGCAGAATGATTAAATCAAGCAATTAAAATATTCATCACCTCACATATTTATCATTTCTTTGTGGTAAGAATGTTTAAACCTAGAAGGACCCTATAAAATTGAACTTTATACTCTTTCACCAGCATCTCCCCTTTACCTATTCACCTGTCCCCAGCTCCCCAGCCTGTGATAATGACCACTCCACTCGTTACTTCTACTGAGTTTGACTATTTTAGATTCCACATATAAGTAAGATGATGCAGTATTTGTCTTTGTCTTATTTCATTTAATGTAATGTCCTCTAGATTCATCCATGTTGTCACAATGACAGAATTTCCCTCATTTTTAAGGTTGAATTGTATTCCATTTGTGTATATATACCACATTTTCTTTTTTTATTCATCTTTTTCCTGAACACTTGGGTTGCTTCCATATCTGTGCTATTGTGAATAATGATGCGATAAACATGAGAGTTCACGTATCTCCTAGACACAGCAATTTCAATTCCTTTGGTTTTCTACCCAGAAGTGGGATTGCTGAATCACATGGTAATTCCATTTTTAATTTTCTGAGGAGCTTTCATACTATGGCTCTGTAATAACTATACTAATTTATATTCCCACCAATAGTGTCCAAGGACTCCCTTTTCTCCACATCTTGCCAATACTTATCTTTCATCATCTTGGTAATAGCTCTTCTAACAGGGAATATTGTGGTTTCAATTTGCATTTCCCTGATAATTAGTAATGTTGAGCCTTTTTTCACGTATCTGTTGGTGATATGTATGTCCCTTTTTTTGAAATATCTATTCAGGTCTTTTCACCCACTTTTTTAATCAGGTCATTTGGGGGTTTTTTGCTATTAAATTCCATATAGATTTGGATATTGATTCCTAATCAGATGCATTGTTTGCAAATATTTTCTCACATGCTGTGGGTTGTCTTTTCACTCTGTTGTTTCCTTTTCAGAAACTTTTAAATATGATGTAATCATCCCATTTGTCTATTTCTGCCTTTATGGCCTGCACTTTTGGGGTAGTATCCAATAATTCATTGCTCAGACCAATATCATGGAGCTTTCCTCTTTGTTTTCTTCTAGTAGTTTTATAGTTTCAGGTCTTATACATCGAGTATTTCTCTAACACTTCTATAATGCTGACTGTATTCCAAGCGCAGGTCAAAGCTCTTGACATATATTAACAACTTAAAGCAACAACCCAATGAGGCAGGTACTAGCCTATTTCTATCTTATATACTGAAGGAGACTAAAGCAGAAGCAGTTTAAGTGTTGTCCAAGGGTGCACAACTAGTAAGTGGTGGTGCTGGAATTTGTACCCTGGCAGTTTGGCTTCAAAGTCTACCTGTGTTTTCACTTTATTATCTCTTTCCTTTTAAATTACCTTTTTATTACTAGTGCCTAGCATAGCTCTCTGCAAAGAATAAATGAGTGCTAATTGAATAAGCCAATGAAACAATGACATTTATCATGCTAATGGTGATGATGATGAAAAGATACTGATAATAATGATTTATATTAATTGAGTTGCCACCCATACTATGTTTCATAATTTGTAAGCACCATATCATGAGATCTTCTTTTTTTTTTAATTACTATACTTTAAGTTCTGGGATACATGTGCAGAACGTGCAGGTTTGTTACATAGGTATACATGTGCCTTGGTGGTTTGCTGCACCCACCAACCCGTCATCTAGGTTTTAAGCCCCGCATGTATTAGGTATTTGTCCTAATTCTCTCCCTCCCCTTGCCCCCAACCCCGCAACAGGTGCTGGTGTGTGATGTTCCCCTCCCTGTGTCCATACGTTCTCATTGTTCAACTTCCACTTATGAGTGAGAACATGCAGTGTTTGGTTTTCTGTTCCTTTGTTAGTTTGCTGAGAATGATGGTTTCCAGCTTCATCTATGTCCCTGCAGAGGACATGAACTCATTCTTTTTTATGGCTGCATGGAATTCTATAGTGTATATGTGCCACATTTTCTTCATCCAGTCTATCATTGATGGGCATTTGGGTTGGTTCCAAGTCTTTGCGATTGTGAATAGTGCTGCAATAAACATACGTGTGTATATGTCTTTAAAGGAGAACGATTTATAATCCTTTGGGTATATACCCAGTAATGGGATTGCTGGATCAAATGATATTTTTGGTTCTAGATCCTTGAGGAATCACCACACTGTCTTCCACAATGGTTCAACTAATTTACACTCCCACCAACAGTGTAAAAGCATTCCTATTTCTCTACATCCTCTCCAGCATCTGTTGTTTCCTGACTTTTTAATGATCACCATTCTAACTGGCATGGGATGGTATCTCATTGTGGTTTTGATTTCCATTTCTCTGATGACCAGTGATGATGAGCTTTTTTGCATGTTTGTTGGCTGCATAAATGCCTTCTTTGGAGAAGTGTCTGTTCATATCCTTTACCCACTTTTTGATGGTTTTTCGGTTTTTTTGTAGATTTGTTTAAATTCCTTGTAGATTCTGGATATTAGCCCTTTGTCAGATGGATAGATTGCAAACATTTTCTCCTATTCTGTATGTTGCCTGTTACTCTGATGATAGTTTCTTTTGCTGTGCAGAAGCTGTTTAGTTCAATTAGATCCCATATCTGAATAGCAATAGTGTTGGTGTTTAGCAGCTTCCCTAGACTGATAGTAAACCTGAGACCTAGAAAAGTTAACCTAACCACATAATGTTAGATACCTGGTAAGCTATAGAACCAGCGCTTGAATCCTGGTCTTCCTAACGCTAATAGCCATGCTCTTTCATTACAGCTAAAAGTCACCAGTTCTGGGATTATTTCTGCCATTTGTTTAGTGGCTTGAGAACAATTATTTATAACATCTTGTTGTACATGAATCTCACCTTATAAAATAAGATTAAAATAAACTTTGCCAAGCAAAGATTGTTGAAAACATAAAAATTCTCAAATAACAAAATAAAAACTGGTCTTTCTCCACATACATACTCAAAAGTGCACTCACACACATATATACTCTTACCCCACAGGATAGAAAGTTGAAAGTCACTATGCATCACCCATAAATCCCCATAGATCTAATCCAAACAGTCTGAATGAAATCGAGATAAATATAGTAGGCGCAATGGATAGAATACAATTTGTGATTTAAAATCCATAAAGTCACTCTAAGGGCATTATGATTTATTCCATATTAAACCCATTTCCCAATCCTAATATTTATGCCCACATGTTTTTAATATGCTGTTTAACCACACATTTTACAGATATAAACATCACCATATGAGCTTTCAATTAGCACTGATTCTCTTCCTGAAGACGTGCCTATTGGAATGAAATGTTAGGAATAGCTGGGAACTGATGTATGTGGAGTTAAAGTGCTGTTAATTCAATTGCTTTATCTGATCCAAAGTCACTTAGATTATATTAAATTAGCCATCTGCTTGGCTTTCACCTTGGAATGTCTGCCAGATGCTGAATGTGTTTGCAGAGTTCATTAGCAGACCCAACCTTAACAACTTTTTTGTGGTGTAACACCAGTGACCAGAAGTTTTCCTGAAAAGACATCATAGGAAAAAAGAAGTATAAGCTACACTTAAATAAATGTTTTTAAAATGAAATGTTTACATTTATTCTCAAATTTAAAAATCATTTTATTGGAAGGGAATTTGGACAAAGGATTCCTACTAAATACCAGCTGATCTTTCGCTTCTCTTTTGACAGGCAATGACAATTGATCATACTCTAATATTAATAAAAATACCAATTTTCACAGATCTAGATATTATTAATTATGTTAGAACTATTCATGCAATATACACCAAAGGGAATCTTCTACCACTTTACACTTCTAATTTAATTTTGTTGAGTGAATTCCCAAGAGCAGATGACTATTCTACCTTGTAGTATATTATGGTGCAGTATAGTCTAGTGATGGAAATTAATATGTAAAATCTAATTTTATTACCATGACAAAGAAACTATTAGGTGAGGACCACTACATTTTGAGGAGTTATAAGCAGCAACATTTGAGTTGGTTCTTTAACATTTTAGAATAACTGTATGTAAGGCATCCCAGGCAAAGTAAGCAATTATGAAAAGGCTTTTTCAGTTGGGGAATTAATAATAGAATGTGGCAACTGGAGAAAGATGAGGCTGGAAAGACTCTCAGAGGCCAGATAATGAAGATCCTTGATTACTGTCTAGGAAATTTGGTTGTTAATTGATCGATTATAAACAGGGAGCCACTGAATTAGTTTTAAGCAGAGAAGTTACATGGCATAGCATGTCATTTAGAAACATAATAAAAGTATAAAATATATAAATAAATTAAGCAAATCAAAGTCACCTAACTTAAGAGATTATTGTAAAGGCACAGGAGAGAAAATGAAAACCTTATCCTAAACAGAGAAAGTGGAGATGGAAAGGGGAGAGATTTAACAGTTAATTAGGAAATAAATGCAATGAAATGTGTTTCACAATTAGAAATGAGAATGTAAACAGAGGAAGATATTGCTTTAAGATTTCTGATTTGTATGATAGATGATTATGAGTTCCAATTTAGGAGGAAGGTTATGGAAATTAGAGGGAATATGGGGCCATGACTTTATCTTTGGATATTTTAGATTTAATGTGACTATTAGATATTCTTGGAGGAATGCCTGTAGATAATTAGTTTATAAGTCTGAAATTCAAGACAGTGATCTGGGCTAGAGATACAAAGTTAAAGTTCATTGCTGTGTATTCTAAATTTGGGATGGTAAAAATTAAATGAAGCTATCTAGGAAGTATATGTGTAATGAGAAGATAAGGATACTCAACATAAGACTCAAAGTAATATTATTGTCTAAGGCATGGGAGGAAGAAAAGATTGCAAAGGACTGCTCAAAGAAGTAAAAGGAAAACCAGAAGAAGATATGATGGCAGAAGACATTGGAAAAGAGAGTAACTATAACAAGCAAAAAGGATCAGGACAGTCTAATGTTACAAAGACATATTCTCTTTTACTCACAGTACTATCAAACCCAATAAGTCAAATTAAAGTACTGAGGAAGAGGAAGAAGAGGAAAAGCTGGTGGTAGCTGAGGAAGAGGAGGAGCAGAAGAAAAAGGAAAGGAGGAAGAGGAGGAGGAGGAGGAGGAACAAAAGAAGGAGAAGTAGTTGAAGAAGGAGAAGGACAGGCACAGAAATTAATGAAATGTTTTGAAGCTATCCAAACCTGATTATATATAAAATAAATTCTACAAATTCTGAGAATAGGTTTCATGGCTTAGTTACTAATTTATCCATCCACAATGAGAAAATCAGATGTGGGAGACAGTTGATAACATTTAATAAACTAAGAACAATATTACCATGTTTGATTTAGAGTAGTCAAATGTCTTTCCAGTACATAATGTCAGAGAAAGTTTAATCAGCATTATGAACTACTTGGAAAATTGTTATTATATCATTCTCATCCTCATTTTATCATGAAAAAATGAATACTTAGAAATATAAAAGTTAAAAAACCTGCTTATTCTCATACCGTCTGTGATGAGACTATATGAGAATAGGACATTTAGGACCCAAGCCCAAATGTCTTGGCTTCAAATTCTAATCTGTAGTAGAAAAGTAAAATGCATTCTGAGTTCTGTGATGAACACTGCAACTGTCTTGGCCAGATCATCTCTCTCCTTCAGGGAGTAAATGAGAGACTTCAGATGAACTCCCTTCCAGCTCTGTGAGTCTGCATTTCTATTAAATATTCTGAAAGTTTTGCAATTGTAAATGTCCCCCAGTATTAATGAATACTTACCCAAACCTACAAAAATACTACTTTAAATTCAATTAATTTTCTAAAGAACTAAAGTTTATATCTTGGAGCAAAGTATTTCATTTTGATTAATTATCATTCAATATTTATAAAAGTTCACATTTCTGCTAGGTTGGAGCACTAGCTCCCATAACAGGCTATAATAAATGATAATGGATAATTATTATTTCAATTACCTTGCTCCTTTTTTTAGAGATACTCGCTTGTATTGCAAATTGGACAATCCTCATTCATTTTGATGTACTAGTTCCAAAGTAACTTGTAGGCATTCATTGATAATGGTAATGTATTTGAGTCAAGGGATATTCAGAACTGAATTGACAGCAACTTACTCAACACATCAACTACACATTTCACCTGCTTTATTAATTTTTTAATAGACATTAGTTTTTAGAACAGTTTTAAATTTATAGAAAAATTTAGATGGTGCAGATAATCCCCGTATGTCCCACACCCATAATTGACATCCTATAGAAGTACGTTACATCTGTTACAACTAATGAACCAGTTTTGACATATTATTAACTGAATTCCATAGGGCATTTAGTTTCCCAATATTGACACATTTTTATTAACTCAAGGCCATTGTTCATTCAAATTTCCTTAGTTTTCTCCTAATATCCTTTTTTTTATTTTCTTTTTCAAGATCCCTTTTAGGACGCCATACTAGTTAGTTGTCACGTCTCTTTATTCTCCGCATATTTTTGACAGTTTTCTTGTTTTTGATGACTGACAGTTTTGAGGAGTACTTCTCAGGTGCATTACAGGGTTTTCCTTTATTGATAGTTGTCTGATGTTATTTCTGATGGTTAGACTGAGACTAGGGGTTTTGTGGAGGAACATAACCGAGGTAAAGTGTCATTTCCATCACATTATATCAAGGGTAAAAACTATCAACATAATTTATGACTGCTGATGCTGACCTTGGTCACCTTTTGGCTGAAGTCATGTTTGTTGGTTTTCTCTACTGCACTGTTTCTCTCTTTTCCCCTTTCCATACTATATTATTTGGAAGAATGTCACTATGCAAAGTACAATTTAAGGGGAGAGAAGTTATTTTCCCTCTCTTTGCAGGTGGAATATTTAAATAGCTTATTTAGAATTTTTTGCATAGAAGATTTGTCTGTTCTCCTCCATTTAATAATTAATTTAATCATTTGTTTACATCAGTATGTTCTGATGGATATTTATTTCATATTTTCGCTAGCAATTCAGTACTATTTCATTTGTCACTCAGATTGTTTCAGCTTTTGCCATTGGGAGCTCTATTAGTTGGCTCACTTGCTTTATTTTACAGGAACATCAGTGTATATTTGTCTGCTCTGGAAATAGCCTTCTAAGTAGGGACCACGGGAAAAAGTTAATAGGGAGAAAAAGCAAGTGTTCAAAATAAAATATTCTAATTAAATAAACAAAATATAAAAATGTTAAGTCAGTATGTAAAAATATTTCTAATGTACTTAAATGACAAAATTTAAGTTAATGATAGAATACAAAGATATTTACTTAGCATTATAAATAATTATGATACTATATACAGGAAGGGGAACATCACACTCTGGGGACTGTTGTGGGGTGGGGGAAGGGGGGAGGGATAGATTTAGGAGATATACCTAATGCTAAATGACGAGTTAATAGGTGCAGCACAACAGCATGGCACATGTATACATATGTAACTAACCTGCACATTGTGCACATGTACCCTAAAACTTAAAGTATAATAATAATAAAATAAATAAAATAAAATAAAATAAAAATCTACTGAAAACTAGAAAAAAAAAATCACCTATGACTAACATAACTTCATCCCTAAAAAAATCTAAGGGAATCGATTTTTAAAAACTATATTTGATAAAATAATTTTAGTTAAACAAAACAAGTAAACAAACCTCAGTAATATTCCTGTACAAGAATTGGATAAAGAAGGGATAAGATAGAACAAAAGATTCCATTTATTCTCAAAAATAAAGCACAAAATCTAGTTTTATATGCACACAGTTTTGTTATCAAGATAACTAGACTTCTATTTCTAACTGCATGGTAGACCAGATACAGTGAATGGTCTTTCTTATAGCAATAATAAATAATAATAACACTGATTAAAACAGAAAAGCAATTATTAAAAACACATTGTCAATCAGGTAAAAATTGTAAATATCTGCAAAGACCAAAGACAAAAACAAAGTACCAGAAACTCATAGGTAAATTGTACCCAAAACAACTTTTATCCAGAGCATTTCTGAAAATTCCTGGAGATCTTGAGCCACACAAATTTCTGGGATGGAGGAGGAGGCCTAGGGCCATCCAAGACAGTCTGTCAGGAAAACTTCACAGAAACCTGCATTCCTGATGTGTACCCTCAGTCTAAGTGTAAACAAAATCTAAACCTACTACATATAGAGAAATAGCAAGCATATCTTATGCCTAGATTTTGAGGCTAGATGTAGGGGAGGACATCTTCATTCAGCCAAGTCCAAAATGCAATGAGTTTGTAAACCAAATTACCTTGAATCCAAAACATTCAAGGGCAGAATTTCATTGAAATAACTCTCCTGTAACTCTGAGTGCTTGGAAAAGCTAAAAAGTGATTGTCTCTGGAAGAGTACAACTTCTATTTGATTCTCAAACATTTTCCACAAATGAAGTTTTAGAAAAAATATCAGTTCATTGTCTACAATTTTAAAAAGAAAAATGATAAAGAGACAGAAAATAGTTATCCATATTAATCTAACATGTACTTCAGATATTAAAAACAACAGAGATAATATATCTCATAAAAATGTTGTACTTTTTATAAATGACTTCATGAGCTAAAAGAAATCATAAAAAGGAACAAATTGATTTGAAAATGAGTAACAGAACTTCTATAAGTAAAATTTCTAGACACTTAATATAACCAGTAAGCAATAGATTAGATACAGCTGCAGGAAGAATTGGTAAATAGAAAACACATTTGATGAAATTATATATGATGCAGACTAGTGAAACTAAGATATAGCAAACATAAAGTATAGAAGAAGAACCTATAATAAATGCCTGATAGAAGTTCCATAAGAAGACAGTGGCACAGAGGAAATAGCTAAAGAAACTGTATTAAAATTAAGAACTTCTGTTTATCAAGAGACACCATTAATAATGTGAAAGGCAAATCAAAAGTGGAAGAGAATATTTAGATTGCACAAGATAGAGGACTTAGGCAGATATGAAAAAGTCTTATACGTATCAATTAGGAAATGACTTGTAATCCAATTTTTGTTTAAATAAATAAAGAAAATGTTAAAAGACATAACCAGGCATTTTACAAAAGAATATATTAAATGGCCAAAAGACATATGAAAATCTGCTCATTCTTATAAAATATCAGAGGGATATAAATTAAAACCATAATGACACAACTATACACCCGTCAAAAAATAAAATATAACAAAATGCCTATCCATACCGAGAGAAAAGCAAGAAGCAACTGAAACTTTTATACATTACTACATCAGGATTAATTATTTAGCCACTTTTTGAAAAATTGACAGTATCTGCAAAAGCTGAACATACGCATATTCTATGCTATCACATTTTCACTTATACGTATATACCCAGCACGAATATATACATATGTACTCCAGAAATTGGTATAGCTATGTTCGTAGCACAAATTTTCCTAATAATCAAAAGATGGAGACCAGCCACATGTTCATCCATATAGATACATAAATTACTAGAATTGGATATTATATAAACATAATCAATATCATCGTCATCACTCTTGAACCAAAAAAGCCAGAGACAAAAAGGTGTACAGGATAATTCAAATTATAAAGTTCAAAAACATTCAAAATTAACATATGTTACTAGAAGTAAAGACAGTGGTTGGGATTTTGTAGGAAGGGATGATGAAGGGAAAATTGCAAGTGGAGAACTTTGATAACTGAAAGGGGGAAGAATGCTGTTTCCAATAGAAAGAAAAATTATAATAGACTTGAAATAATGCTCTACATGCGTCTATGCACAAATTCTTTAAAAAAATTATATACTTTTGATGATATTAAAGAAGACCTAAAAATAAGAAATATATTCCCCTATAGGACAAGAAGACTGAATATGAGAATGTAAATTTTTTCTATTTTTACTTTTAGATTTAATGAAATTCCAAACCAAATATCTACAGAATTGTTCATGGAAATGACAAATTTTTTTCTAAAATTTCTATGATAATACAAGAAGAACAGGGTTCTCCTAAAAGAGAAATGGGGTGACTTGCCCTAACAGGTAGCAAGACTTACTATAAACTGTGCTATTTAAAATTTATGCACATGTGCAAACAACATTTATAGTTGAGCTGACCCTCCAGATCAGTAAGGAAAAAAACAGACTACCTAATTTTTCTTGAGTAGTGGGTTATCTATACAAAATAATTAATTTATCTTTACCCCTATAAATAATAATTTAATTGGAATAAAAACTTAAATGTAAAAAGCAACATTATAAAACTTTTAGGAAACAAGAAAAAGAAATGTGTTCATGACCTCATAACAAGGAATTTCTTAAACACCAAAAATGTGTGAACACTAAGAGAAAAGATCACAAATTTAAGAAGTTCTGTTATGACCCAGTGAGTAAAAGGCAAGCTTTACTTTGGAATGATATTTGCACATCATATGATAAATTATTAAACTTTTATCATAAAAGATTACCTCAAAGCAATACAAAAAGCCAAATATTTTTACAGAAACATATACAGAAGGCATGAAGAAAAGAGAAAATAAGAATGAGCCATAAATGTCTGAAAATAGTTGGGGTCTCATTGACAATGAGAAACGTGTAATTTTTAAACATGGTATGTGAAAAAAAATTAGCTACCATTTCACATCCCTGATTGGTAAACATTAAAAACTTGAACAGTACCAGATGTTGGAGAAATTCCTTAGCAAAACAAACTCATCTATTTATTGCGGCGCAATTGTACATTGGCACAACCACTTTGGAAAAGGGTTTAACATTACTGAGTAATGCTCCATTCTACTTCTAGGGAAACATGACAGAGAAACTCGTGACCACGTGCAGTGAGAGACATATACAAGAATGTTCGTATCACCCTTTTTCACAAAGGCAAAAAAAGGAAATGTCCAAATATCTATCAATGACAGATAAACTCTAGAATATTCTTACAGCAGTTAAAATGTTAACTACATTAGGACTACACAGTGACTTGTAACCACACGGATAAACAATTGAAGCATTATATTGCTGCAGAGAGGCAAATCAAAGAAGCATTCAAGCCACATGTTCTTGAAGTGTGCATGAATAGAAGATAAACTACCTTTAATTAAAGTGTGAGGCTGATGAAAGCAGAATCCAAAATCGTGGTTACCTGGGGGACAGATAACACTATGCTGTCAGTGAGGGACACCCTGACCATTTCTAGAGTCCTGGTGACATTCTTTTTATTAAACTGAGTTTTGACTATGTGGGTAGCCATATCGTTATTCTTGAAATTTTACATATGCATTTTCTAAAATTTCTCTGTTTCACTAGAATTAGTTTAAATTATTAAGAAAAGAGAAAAATACCCTGCTTTTTGAACTACTTTAAAGAATTGAATAAAAGAACACATAAATCTATTAGACTAGAAGGCAAAACATAAGAGATGTTTGAGATTTCTGTACAGATCTAAATTGCAGAAAACAATTGTTCTTTGGAATCTGACTATATACAAATATATATATATAAAGGTACATATATATGTTGCATATATATTATATATAAGTTGCATATATATAGCCATATATATATGGCCATATATATACATATACATATGTATATATGTATACGTATACATATATACATATACATATGTATATATGTATACGTATACATATATACATATATATGCACAACTTATACAACTAAGAATATTCTGGAAAGACCAGAACCTCAGTATATTCCTTTCTGTGGCTCCACAGGTCTCCCCAGGTGGGAGTTTGAAGGGCTCAAGAAAAAGCCAGAAATTTTGCTGAGGTCTGTATCGTGCCTCCATGGCAGCCGCTATCTCTTTTTTCTCTCTGTTTTTGCTTTTGCCCAGCTCATACCAGTTCCCCTCCTGTATCACTGCTAACCTCCTCCAGATCACAAGTGTCCTTTCCATCACATACTCCTGACCACATTGCTGCCTGCTACCTCTTTCGATCTGAGAGCCACCATGTTTAGCTAGAGGTGCACAGGTGGAGACCCTGATCTGTCCTGAATCCCTGGAGCATCCCGTAGTGTGTGTGTGGATGTGGCGGATCGGCGGGGGGGCGGAATGTGTTTTTTAATATGTTGCCAGCTTGGGCAGCTTGCCAGTCTCAGATGTCTATAATAACCCCTTTGTTCTAGAGAACTGTGTCTCTTCTCACGGCAGAATCTTTCAGAGGAGGGCCACAGAGCAGAATTGAGCCTGTTTTCCTTTTTATTATAGCTTTTTCCTTTCAAAGATACAAATTCAAGGAGTGTCAGGGACAGGCAGATGATTCTTTTAGGCACAAGAAGAGACCAGACGCATCTGCACACTTTCTCTGTATCTCTGCATCTCTGAGCTGCTGTCACACTTAGCCTCCTCTGGCAAATTTCCCCCTTTCCCAGTGTTGTTCTTTTCAGAGTACCTTTGCTTCTTCACACACGTTGGCTTTCCTTGCCACCATCCCACCCCACATTTGTTAAACACCTCTGCACGTGTCCGTGCTAAAATTATCAAGATACGGAAAAAATTAAAGACTATAATAGAATAAATTACCCCAATATATTAGCAAAAAATTTACCTGAAAACACTAGATCTCTCTAGAAATACCAGAATTCAAATTATAGCAAATGAGATAATGTTATAGATGTATTAACATATGAAGATAAAGATAATATAATTATCTAATGCAAGCACAATTATAGATAATTGATAAATTGTAATGCCATTTAACATTAGTACTTTCAGAAAGCAAAATGACATAATATAAAGCCATAGAGATATTGGTAAAAGAAAACTATATAATACACATAATATGTGCACACAATATCTTTTGGGGAGGGGCATTTTACTGTAACCTATAAAGATGAAACATTTCACTCTAACCTGCTAAATCTAAAGCAAACAAAATTCAGTCTACCACCACCATCAACAATGACAAAAAATTAGGAAAGTAAACTATGTATTTAATATTAAGATATTTTAATACATTGTGGCATATCAACAAATAAACCATAATTTAAAAGTTATGATATTTAGGAACAAAAACATGTAACCTATAAATGATTTATGGCATATTAATAAAAATTAGTAGTTAAAAATTTACAAATGCACATTCTGCATATTGAATCTGATGTACACATTTGAAAATAGTTATTTTGTCATGAAGTGCAGTTGGATTACAAACTTGAAGTTATTTGCTTAAACAAAATGAAATTGCCAAGTTTCAACTGTTTTTGACCTAGAAAAAAGGAAATGGCATATGGTAATATCTAACATACTAAAAAGGCTATACCTTGGAAAAATGAGAATACTAATTTGCTCTCAAAGAATGTATCTATCAAAGAGGGTATCTATAAAGGTAGGAAGTGATAGATCCCACAGATTTCTTAACCCTCTTCTGTTGAATAGTAAATGCTTTGACATTTTAAGATGCATTTTAAAAGTTCTTTGAACCCATATATTTGTTTATTTGCTACATGACACTAAATATTTTCTAGTCTTCCCCTCACTTATGAAGCCACAAGCATAAGACAGTGATGAACGAAGGGCACCTAATGGCAGTCAAGCCCATATTTCTAATAAAATTCCAGCGTGCCCTCTGACACAGGGCTTCAAGCCTATCCTGCTGTCTTTTAGCTTCTCCTGCCTATGCAAATCCATTTGGCCGAAACAACCTGAGAAAACTAGAATTATTTGCAGAATCACTGCAAGAGAGTTCAAGCATGGAAGAATCATTATTCATAATTTGCTACCTATGGTAAAAATCAGTACCAGTCTGTTCATTTTCACTTACTTATTCACTTGATAAATCATCGAGTAGACATGATTTTCAGCCTCCCCCAAGAAAGACAAAATTCTTTCAGAAAATAATCACTCAATGATTTAAGCTGAAAATATAAATGTAGTGCATACAGTACATAGAAATCTCTGTCAGCTATATAAATCTTATACACGTCCTCCTTCTCTTCTGTGGTATGACAGTGCTAAGAGACCAAAGAATGTTTATAAGCAAAGATTTTTAAAAATTCTCAATGTCAAGAGTTTCTCATGACATTTTCAAAAATAAAACAAGTTGGATATAAACTCCACCCAGTGAATCAATTTGAGGAAAATGACTTTTTTTTTTTTTTAACTCTGGATGAGACCAGATTTCTGGTAGAGCCATTTTTAAAGGAAGTGGGCTGATAAGTCTAAACAACAAAAAGGCACAAATGAGCAGAAAATCAGATATAAAGCAGGAACAAAATGGGCGGGTAGAGTACTAAGGATAATTTTTTTTAGACATAAATGGTGAAAGAGGAAATATGTGTGTGAATGCCCATTGTTGATTTTGTGTTAATCACCTGTGTTAGGCTATGTCATGGTAACAAACAACTCCCAATCTCAGTGGCTGATGAGGACAATGGCCTATTTCTCACCTTTGTTGGTTGGAATCCAGACTGAAGAAGCAGCCTGCCTGCATCTCGAACATGTAGTCTCATGGCACAGGGAGAGAATCAATGGTGGGTTAAGGAATGGCTCTTTGAACTTCTCAGATGTAGCCTACTTCATTTCTGCTGGCCTTCTATTGGCCAAAGCAAGTCACATGGCCAAGCCTGACATCAGTGAAAGGTGATATTATATTCCTCTTGCAGGGAGGGGCCCTTCAATGAAGGATCTAATAGAGAAGGGTAGCAAACACTTGGGAAGAATAATACAATATACTATAATTTCCTACAAAATCTGCTATCTATCTCAGATGGAATTTTTTAGATAAACTTTACTTAAATCAAAGAAAATGGAATTGTTCAGTTGTCTCAACGGAAGCTTTGCACAGGTATTAATTACACTGGATTAAAAAGAAACTATTGTGAAGAGGCTGAAATTTTTTTTAACCATATAGCAGTCTCCTTAATTTATGTTCATATTTGAGGTAGGCATTATAGTATGAACTAAAGTTGATTGCTACCTGCATAACTTTATTCTTCTCATCTCATGATTTGTGGCTGGGGCTGTAAGGAGCTAGCAAGCATTGCCCTGTCTTCACTCCCTGAGATTGGAGCCAAATGTGAAACACAAAAGACAGAAAAATAGAGATGAACACATTAGGTGCATTTACAGTAAAATCAGCTGGACAATGTAACCTTAGATCCTCCCATAAAAGAGCTGAATAATACTCACTGCCCTAATCTTAAACAGACTGATTCGACTATGACTGGCAAAACGGGACAAGTTCAAGTCTCCACCTCAAAGAGATGCACCTCACTGCATGGATTATTACAAACTAACTTTTACTCCTTCTACAGGTGAACCAGCCTGAAAGAGGAGACATAAGTTAGCCTTTGCAGAGCATGCTCAACTACTACATCCAAGGATATCAACCAAACGATTTAGCACAATGAAAGTAGGCCAAGAACTTGAGTTTAGATGAAAGGAAAACATAAAGAGTATATAAACTTCTTAACACTTCAGCTTTCTATTCACTTAGCTCTTGATCTTACATGGTAAGTCGATCGTTAAGCCGTGATGGAAGTATCCTCTACTTGCATCTTCACTAGAATGTTCCCACAGAACTGAGTATCTGGTTTTGTACATCTTTTTGATACAACTGGTGGAGAGTTTAAAATGCTTCCAGGAAGGCTCCAAAATGAGACAAAACAGTACATTAATCAATTTGAAGGCATTTCTGTACTTAAGAAAAAGAACCACTTCCTCTTATATGTTCCATCCTTTAAGTAAGCATTCAGTTGTTGCAGCCTGGGATGTTACACATTGGAAAGGGTTTGTTCCCTCAGGACCACCTAAGTTGCTTTTGTTCAATATCACATTTCTTATATGCCTCTTGCATTAAGGAGTCCAAAGAATTTAGGGCTATCACCGCACACATAGAAAACACACCAATCGTAACTCTAATGGATTTATCTGGAGCCAAGTTATGTCGCCAGAATCCAGTACTTAATAAAGCCGAAGAGTCCTTTATCAGGAATGATAAAAAAAAAAAAAGAAGATCATAATGTGTCATCTTTAGCTGGGAGATGCTAAAGAGGAAAACAGAATGGCATAAGCTGAGCATGCTAAATTCCTTCCAAACCATCATTCTGGTAATGCACCCCTCTTCTCTTGCAGGGATGAGGGGTGGAGAGAAAAGCCAGAAGTGTTAGTCAGCTGGAGAGCCTCCACATGTTGATATGAGAAGTTAGGATTCAGTACTCCTTCCTAACACGCAGATATAATTGCATGGACAAGGTCCAGTCTTTACAGAAGTAAACAGAAGGATAGCTTTGCTATTTCCTGTCTTCTGAGATCCAAATAATTCTACACATCTGCTCAAAGGTCCTTTGCAAGATGCTTCCTCTCTAACCATAAATCCATAGACCACAGATAATGCAAAATAGACTGTAATTAATTCAGACCTGGCAGTGACTGAGTCAGCACTTCTCTTGGGATTCAGTAAAGGCTATTAAGTTAGCAAGATAACTCCTCAGGCAGGAATCAGAGTAAATTAAATATATACTATATTTATAAACACCACCTTCTTTAATAAATAACCTTCAATTAATTATATTCAAAATGTATGGTAGATTATTGACATATATGAGGGTTAAAAATGGCATTTATTCATATGACAAGGTCTTAGCAAATATAAGAGGAGCTATGAACAAATGATAAATAAAAGAAGATTGTAATTCCAAGTTCTGGTTACACTACCTGTAATGATTAATTCACTTTTTGGCCATACTTTAAGCATCTCGATTAATTATCACAGGCTGAGAAAGGCCTCAAAGGAAAAATTTCCTACCTTAGAACATCTGGTTTATAAGCTATTTATTCCAGCCCATAAAAACTTAAATTCCATGTATTGTATTTCTATTCCTTCTATTATATTTCCACTAAAGTGTCATTCAGACCATTCTAATTGGCCATGAGTAAGAGAATCCAATGGATTGCACCTGAAATGCTAAGTAAATATGTATCTAAATCCTATCTGTGTTTGATGATCCACTGTATATCTCTTCTACACCAGAAAAGTTTCTCAAAGTCTCAAAAATTCATGGCCAGCTATTTATGCAATAAATTTGCATGGCTAGATATCACTATAAATGCATACGTTTTGTCACACAAACAGATGTGAGCACTGTATGGATATAACGTATACTATGGCTACTTTCAAGATCATTTGAGGTCATTTATAATAAAATTACATTTAAAGTAGAATAAATAAACATCTTGGAAAATATTTAGAAACCCATGAACCATCAAGCAAAGATCAATTTGATATCTGATGCTGAACTGTAGATATCTGTGTGTTTTTGACCAATAAGATGAGCAGGTGACAAAGATGACATTCAATTATGCAAATAAAAGAGCCCGACTTATTTTCTTGGCTGGATATGGGAGCATCTATCACCATACTGTACTCATAGAAACAGACTTTTTACCCCTAAAGTTGTTTTTGGGTTCTACTTCTTAGGGTAGGGGTGTTACAACAGGGATCTGAACATATCTTTTTTTTTTTTAATCAAGTTATCTGTCTGCCATCTCAGAGTGACTTTTGTAGAACATATACATCTTGGCTGCACATTTTTTTTTCTAAATGAGTAATTCTAAAATCAGTCCCTAGTAGATAATAGGTGGAATTCAATGTTTCTCATTTCAGTGTTGGGGAATGCTAGACAAAAATAAATTTTGTAGTTTTGGTCTAGCTGTTAAAATAATAAAATACTTCGTTGTTCTAATTGTTTCTCTTTACATTAGTAGTCAGAAGAATAAGGTAAATTCTGAAAAACAGATAATTAATATCCTAATCCATTAAATAAATATTTGTTACTATATAAAGACCATATGTAAGGTGTTGGTCTTCAAAGATAGAATGGATAAGAACAAAGGTTTAGTAAAGAAGAAAAACATTCAAATATATAATCATAATATAATGTGTTAAATTCTTTTTTTTTCTTTTTTTTCTTTTTTTTTTTTTTTGAGATGGAGTCTCGCTCTGTCACCCAGCCTGGAGTGCAGTGGCGCGATCTTGGCTCACTGCAAGCTCTGCCTCCTGGGTTCACGCCATTCTCCTGCCTCAGCTTCCCGAGTAGCTGGGACCACAGGCGCCTGCCACCACGCCCGGCTAATTTTTTGTATTTTTAGTAGAGATGGGGTTTCATCATGTTAGCCAGAATGGTCTCGATCTCCTGACCTCATGATCCGCCCATCTTGGCCTCCCAAAGTGCTGGGATTACAGGCTGAACCGCTGCGCCCGGCCTATAATGTGTTTAATTCCTAAATAATAGTCTGTATGGTGAAATTATGAATGGTCTACTAGAAGATTCTCGATTTTCTTTGTCCTGACCAATAACCATGCTTGCAATATATCTAAAAGATAAATCATATTATTTAAGGATATGTTAATGTGTTATGGATTTGAGGGAAAATCCTCACTATATTACTTTATAATTACATGCACACAGTCAATGCACTATTATTTCTCAGGCTGATTCTGCGAGATATATAAACATACAATCCTTAAAGCTACACTAATATCCTGGGAACTATGACTAACAGCTCATGTAATATCCTTTTCCTTAAATCCTACGTCAAGGTAGTCATACTGCCAATAATCAATATATAGACATACATGGTATATTTAGCAAATGCACAAATATATATATATATAATATTGATTATTTATTGAATGACCTTTATAGAAAGTATTTGGATATTCATTATTGTTTTCCACTACTTTTGTTTTAAATTCACCTTCAAGTATGTACAGGGAACACTGTGACAATCAAAAGCTCATTAAGAGATTGAATATGGATTATGTAAGTTACAAAGCAGAATATTAATCAGATTTTTAACAGATTTGCCTTTTAAAAACATTGAATTACTTAGAGAATTCGGCATCATGTCTGTTAACTTTCAAAGTGTCCTTCTACTGCAATAAAATTAAGACTGAGAAATTAGCAGTGTACATAGTTACACCATTGTTCTGGCTTGATCCAAGGATTTGAACTTCTTCAAATTAACTATTGTGCATTTAGCCCAAACAGACCCTCAATTCCTAGCTTTTTAAGAAATGTTTATCAAATAAAACAAGAACATTAATACCTTCAAGCCATCCACAGCCCTCCTTCTGCATCACTATGGTAAGTATGGGATCACAGAACAAGAAAGCCCAGACTTGCAACCCTGGCCTCGCAATTATCCATGAGCATTTTGGCAAGTGTCTGATGCAGGCTTTGCCCTGTGCAAGCCAGGGAGGTGGGTGAGATATGACACAGTGCTTATTTTGATGGCGCTTAAATTCTTGATTCCTCTTTTTTCCTCTTCTAACATAAAAGCAATCATCGTGTTCATTGAATGATGGCTGTAAACCTTGCACAAAGGAATTCTATCTTTCAAATTTCCACTTCTCATTATCCACATGAAGTATGCTTAATCAAAATTATTGATTAATTGTACATGTGAAAAAGTAAATGATTGACTGCAGCCACTGTGATACACTGGCATGCCCATTCCCCTCAATTTTTCAAACAATGGATGCTTTCTAATGTGAAAGCAATAGCCTTCCAGAACTAAGATTTACTTGAGTATACAAAGAATTTCAAAAGAAGAGTAAAGGGTTCATTAATTTACCAAGTTACTATTAGTCTATGTTGGTCTTCATCCAGAAAACATTCACCAGAGGGAGGTTGTAAAGTATGCTTTTCTATGTCCAAATGACACGTATACTCTATTAAGTGCTTAGAGCTGCACTGGTGTGGCAGCAAACAATACTAACCATCACTCACAAGATCTGAGATGTGACAAATGATAATGAGCTAAAGCTCTGCTCCATCCCCACATTCAATTTGAGGATCTTTCTGGATAAAAAGGCTATTACATCCAGAGATGTCATTGCCATCACAACAGTCAATAGAAAAGTCATTTATTTTTAAGGAGCTTTACTTCATATGTTAACCTTTCCAGATTTAAGTTCTAAATTCTCCAGGATCAATTAGAATTAATCCAAAGCATAATATCAGACTATGCTTCCCTTTTATTTATTTATTTTTAATAATACCTACCAGAAACAGACAGGCACACCAATTGTGCTGTTCAATAGCCCTATACAAAGAAAAACATTTCCTGCCTATGATCATTACACAATGCAAATATTTTCCTGGAGAATCTTATAATTCATCATGCTAAATAGGAAAATGGCATGGCCTTTGTGCAGTCCACTGTAAGTACCCGGAAGAAAGCTCACTGGTCTCTTGATGAGTTGGGACCAATGATGAGTTGGATAGGAGCGACTCCCTCCATCTCCATCTGCTGCCACTTCATTCCACTAGGGATTAATTGACTTGAACCAAATTATCAGATACTCTCTGTGCAATTGCTTGATGAGTTGATGATGATTTCAATTCAACCACTGATTAACTTGTTGGAATGCCCAGGTGAAGTGATAATTGTTTTAGAAATCTGAATTTAAAATTTAAAACTAAATTTCTGCTGACAACATAGAAGAAACAGAACTTAATCAGGGAAAGCCTGTACTAAAACGTATTTGCTGCAGCAGTAAGGAAACTCAAAAGATTGGTTTTATCTTTGATGCATGTGCTTTAAAACATCAGTGGCATGTCTGCCGTCCATTTTTCGTTCTCAGAACAATAGAAATGGTTTAAAACATTATGTAAAGAATGTATAGCAGATTTTTGAATCAACAACTGTGAAGAAACAATGTGAATAACCAAATTAAAGATGTGACAGTTGAGAAATTGGAAACAAGTTATTATGGAGCATGTGTACACTCAAGGTTCGTAAAAGGTTCTTAAAATAGAATTAATCCTTACAAGCCACTAATGTTTCTGTACTAGATTAATGCTACTATTCACAGAGGCTGATCATCCCCAAGGAAGTTCACAGTACATCAAACTAACACTGTTCACTAAAGGACAATTATATTTGGTAGAAATAATCCCCTTGAAAGTAGAAAAGGAAAAGAAAATCAATCACTTCATGATTTAATGAACTATCCAAAGCAATGCTGGCCATTACCAAACATGAACTACGGTGACAATAATTAGAACTCACCTCGTTAGGGGAAAACATTCACATTTTAGACTACTTTAAATTAAAACTCATTAAAATTTAGTTTATATTCTTTACCAAAAAAAACCTATCAGCAATTTTGAAAATGCAACACAAGTTCTAGATATCCACTAATGATGTGACTATTCATTTAAGAAATATTTATTACCTTTAAATAGGCAGGTAGTCACTGTAATACCTATCAAAAACGTTTTTTGTTTAAATGTGGATGTACTTCCTTCTGGTCAATGTTTGTCTCAATAATGACGATTAAATCTTATATTAACAAATGCAGGAACATGTTAAATGGAATGGAGAACTTGTCTTTAACAACTTGTTTTGTGTCTAGCAAAATCCTAGCCTTGTCCCTCACTTCCCTTTCTGTATACCCTACTCAAAGTCTTGACCAAGCATCTCTGATGCTGAGCACGGGTCCACTAGCTAAGTTCACAACTTTGTTTATGTTCCCCGTTTGCCTCTAAGACTCAGCATTTCTATCTCTACCTGACATCCAGCCCCTAGTCAAGTCCAGGTAGAATTAGTAGGTATTTTCAGTCATAGTTAGTATCTCCTTGGGGGGCCTCTCATGTCCTTTTTATGCATATCTCTATTATAGCACTTTTCAGGGTTTTTCACAGCTGGGTATTTATAAAGGTTTCTTCCTCCTAGACGTGGAGATCCTGGAAGGAAGAGTCTACATCTTTGTTAGCTCAGAGATGGAAACCTAGGTAGAAAATTTGAATTAGGGAAATTAGTACAGAAAGTTGGAAATCCATCTGGGAAAGAATCCATCATCTCTCACTGATGATTTCAATTAGTCCGACTTTTTACAAGCTTAAAGCAAAATCGACAGACGTGAAATATAGTAACTGATCCCATTATAAAAATTTGATCTTTACCATATTCACATATCCAAAAATTGTATTTCTATGAAGGTTTTTGTCATATAATTAGTGGTTAATCAGTGTTATTCATGGATATGGGGTTCAAGTTCTACCTATGCTACTTAATTACATGAATATGGAGAAATTCTGTCAACTCCCTAAGGCTCAGTTTCCTCATGGGAAAATGGTGATGAAAATAGTGTTATCTTATAGGACTTTTAAAATAATTAAATGAGTTGAATGCATAAAAAGCAACTACAAGGGGTATATTAAACATACACAATTACTAGACTGGAACTCATGAGCACCCATGCAGAATATTTGAAAGCATAAAGACATCTTAGTGAGTTTTGAAGCTATTACCTAAGAAGTCTTTGGTAATTTTCTAAACTGCCTAAGGCATCTGGGAAGGCTCCTTTTTCTTCTTCTTATGGAGGAACAATTAAAAAAAAAAAAACAACTGAGGCCCAGTTGGAGAGTACGTATTCTATAGCAGGTTTTCTGCATATCTTTATTGATTACCATCATTTCTCTCACAAGTAACAGACATTCCAACCAGCAGAAGTTTTAGCTCTAGTTGCAAAACCAAAGGCAGAACTATGTTTATGACTCTAGACAACACAATCATGGTATCTAGTGAAAACCAAAACTCTCACCTACTTCCCCAGACATGAATGGATTCTGCCAACTCTCCATATCTAACCACCCTGGTTTCTTTTCGCAATATGGTGAAATTTTAGACAATAAGAAGAATATTTATTATTTACAACTATTAATATAAATAAAACAATTTTTATTGATTTTTGTTTTCCAAACACAATTTCTAGATCTATCATTGATGCACACATACTATAGGAACACTTCGGTAACATGGCAACAAGGAAAGCCTAAATAATTCTGGAATTAGATACAAAAGACACAAACAATGCTTCAAAGTGAAAGTAAATCGCCTTTTTTCAATATTAAAACTTATCTCAACATTTCCATAGTTACAGAAAGCTTGAGTGATCTTGGAAAGAACTCTATGCACAGAGAGCTTTAATTGTTGTTTCCTTTAAACTAGGGGCCATTTTTCTAATTCTGGCAATATACAACTCTCTTCAGCATTAAGATTCTTGATTTATGCTCCTACATAAATCCCCTCCCTCATCATCCTAATGAGTAAAGCCTGGTAGGAAAGGGAACACATTTTGATTAATAGTGCTTTGATAGTTATCACTTCTTTGTTTATGAGAAAACTTGCTAGCTGCCTCTTAGTTGCAAATTAGAAAATGATACTTCAGTCATCCAATCCTCTCAGGTTTCTAAGAGAATTCAGTTCTAGTTAATTAGTGTTAATGAACTGCTATTCTTTTCCTGGCACTGTATTTAGTCAGTGCAAACACAGGAACGATCATGGTGCTTGCCCTGAAAAAGCTTATAGTTTAATCAGGGAGATAGACATATGAAGATGTAAGTGAAATAGTGTTATTGAAATGTGGCTTCTATACGCTATGCAGACAACGGGAAAAGATGAGGCACTGCAGAGAAATAAATAAATTCTAGTGGGAATGAGAATGTGTAACAAGTGAAACTTCCAAGCCCACTAGTTTGTGAACAGAAATGTGGTCACATCAACATATTAATCACCCTAACCAGCTGATACAATAGCGCCCCATGAACTCTGCTCTGGTGTTTCTGAGAGTCCCCAGGTAGTGTCTTATATCCTCCTAACGTACTTGTTTTTTTTTCCTTCTGCTCCTGCTTTGCTGTTCATGTTCACTGTTTATAAATTGAGGAATCTCCTCCTCACCTACATGGTGAGAAGTGCCCTCCACAGGACATCTGCTTTCCTGCTCAGCATGCCAAATCCACATGCCACTGGGACACTAAACAGCAGTGGACTTTTCATACCCCACTCTGTGGGACACATACTGAGTTCTATGTCTCTTTCCAATCTCTGTATTACAGTTGCCCAGCTGTGACTGAAGCACTACTGATTGCATGATTTGCACAATGTCCTGCATGGATTTTCTTCTTTATATTTTACCTGTAGCCTCTCCCTCTAATGAATGGAATCTTAAACACTGGTGCAACACACACTCTCTAAATTCTAGACATCTGAACATCAACATTTTCTTTATTAAGCCTTCTCTGCAACTCTCCTGTTCCTTGATTATGAATGATGGTAAGTGTATGTTACATGGGGAATACTAGCTTACCAATTCATGAGACAGAGCCAGACCACGAACTCTACTTGGACTTAATTCCTGCTTTTACTTCTAGGAGAGATGAAGCCTGAATTTAAACTTAATGACTAGACAGGAAAGGAAGAGGAGCCACACAGACAAAGGACAGAATGTGAGTCAGTCCAGAGTGCTTTAGGAACTGTAAGGAAGTGTCACATGGATGGAGGGGGAGCAGGACCAGATCGTAGAGCCCCTGAGTTCTCTGCTTGGAAATAACGACTCATTTGGCTTGATATTAGGGAGCCATGACTCCATTTTACCTGAAGGAAATAATATAGTGTTGACTCTGCAGCACAGTGCTCACTGTGATCTACAAAAATGTGGAAGCTTAAAAGAAGACTGAAAATACTAGAGAGAATTAGCATTTGAGAGACAATTATGATAATTGATGAGTGAGTAATTACTGAAATGCAGCATTGGCTGTGAGATAAATATAAGAGACTACAGGGATATAAGCAATTAGGAAAGAAGAACATCATCACCAATTTTCTAGGTTGCATAACTTAGAAAGTGTTAATACCATTAACCAAAACAGAAAAATAAGCTAGAGAAGCAGGTTTGCAGGTGAAGTTGGGGAGTGGGGAGAAGATAAACATAGTTACAAATGTGTTGAGCTTAAAAACCCTGTGGTACATTGTGAACAGGGGACCTGTAAGAATTTGGGTATATCTTAAGCTGGATCCCAGCAGGCAACTGGGTTGGAGACACAGGTTTGAGTCATCAGCATGTACATGGTAGTTTAATCAGATTAGTGGGACAGATTGCAAACCTAGGCAAAGCTTGAATGAGAAAAAAGATGAGGACCAAAAACAGAACACTTAGGAAAACAAAAAATATATAATACGTATTTGCTGGACTAGTACATGATAAAAAGTAATTTGTCCTATGTTCTCTGTTTTATTCACATGATTTCCTATAAGAATCCTTTTTCTATTTCATTTTTTATTCTTTTGTCATTTTTTTCATAAAGAGGTAAATGTTGTGCTGTTACTTGTCCTGAAGATGAATATTCTGTTCAGAAATGAGGCTGAAAACATTGTCAACAAGATTAGGTATCTGGAAAATAACGTTAAGTTTCATGAAGCTGTTCAAATAAAAGGCCCTAGAGTTCAACACATTTCTACTGCACACTAATTGCCATAACAACACATATAGATGCATTTATTGAAATCAAGTTTCAAGGCAGAAATGTCCAAACTTTCTCAAGATACTCCAGTGCCTGGTACTTTTTACACAGTGTCTATGCTGTGGGGGTAAAGTCCAGCACATCTGAAATTTGCCTAAATTGTTTTCCTGAGGTAAGAGGTGTGCCTTCAGGGTGCTGACTGACCCTTGGTCAAGGCATAACATCCACTGATTAATAGTGTTATTTTGTAACAATGGGTCCAAGGATGTTTGTGTCAATTTGATGGCATGGTTTATTGATAAACAGTAAGATGATGGTTTGCCCCTAGTTTCAGCAAGAACCCCCGGGAGGGCCCTACCATTGGAGCCATTTATGTAACAACAAATATGCCTAGATAACAAGCAGGGTATAAGAAACCAAGGCCAAGCCTCCATAGTGAACTCCCTGGTTCTGAGGTGCCAGTGCACACGATGACATGGTCCTGATCCAAGAGAGGAAGTGTATCCAGTATGGTCCTGAAGCAAGTGGAAAGTTTCACTCATGCCTGGTCTCTCCACACCCTTTACTGTGGGGCAGCCTTTGGCTGCAAATGCAAGTTCTTATTTTAATGTTGTTTCTAAATT
The DNA here is from genome assembly GCF_000001405.40 of Homo sapiens. NCBI lineage: Eukaryota > Metazoa > Chordata > Mammalia > Primates > Hominidae > Homo > Homo sapiens. Next base: position 22,464,805 of record NC_000002.12, read on the forward strand.
ATATCATTTTCCTCCAAGAAATCATAGATTTGTAAGTACTGGCATTTTGGGTCCTATAAATCTTTAAAAACTGAATCCCGTCTGGCTGCCACCATTAACACAGTGCCTCCAAACCAAATTAATTAATTAGCTAGGTCCAAATAATTTAACAAGTGTTTATTAACAACTTAGTCGTCATTTGAAAGAAAACAATATGCACACATGGAAAGAACACATACAACTTTCATCTCATGTTTAAGTAACCACAATTAGTCACTAATGAGGTATGTGCACCTGAGGATGCTGTAAAAGTCAAACCTTGGAATCAGATTGGGCACTGCCACCCTTGTGTCCTGTTCCATGATGATTTTCATGTCATGTTTTCTTTGTATCACAGCAACCTCCCAAATCCCAGCCGGCATCACCTAGAGGAAAATTGCTCAGTCTAATGCTCAAACTGTGAGCTGCCTTGAGAGTATTTTGTGGGATGTCTAACAAACATTGTTGCATTTCGCTGAAACATTTAAACTATACCAAGATACCCATGTGAATTTTCCATGGCGCCCAAGGGCACTTCAGCAACTTTTGGGACCCACAGATATAAGAGAATGACAGAAACAAATTCCTTGTTCGCACAGGCTTTCCATCAGAGTCAACAGTTAGGGTTTGGAGATGGTAAGTTGATAAGGGTCAGTATGGAAAGACTATATATATATTCTTCAATATTCTATATTCTAGACATTGTAGAAAATTCAAGAACGGGATGCTGAGCTGCGATACCTTAGGAATTTAGAGAGTGAGCCACCTTCTACTTTTTGAAATATTATGTTTAATTCTATAAGCCAGAAGGGACTTAAGAGTCAAGTTGCCTCCAAAAGGTGATAAAAATGAATTCTTGGTATATATATATACACATACATACATGTGTATATATACATATATATGCATACATATATACATATATATTCATACATATACACATACATATATGTGTATATATACACATACATATATGTGTATATATACACATATATACATGTATGTATGTATATATACACATATATACATGTGTATGCGTATATATACGCATATACACATACATGTATGTGTATACACATATACACATACATGTATGCGTATATACACATACACACGCATACATGTATGCGTATATATGCACATACACGCGCATACATGTATGCGTATGTGTACACATACACACGCATATATGTGTGTGTATGTGTGCACATATACACGCATATATGTGTATGTGTGCACATATACACGCATATGTGTGTGTATGTGTGCACATATACACGCATATATGTGTGTGTATGTGTGCACATATACACACATATATATTATATATAAACGTTTATATATAATATATATACACATATATATAAATGTTTTATATATATTATATATACACATATATATTGTATATAAATATATAATAGAGAGAGAGAGAAAGAGATGGAGTCTAGCTTTGTCACCAGGCTGGAGTGCAGTGGCATGATCTCGGCTCACTGCATCCTCCACCTCCTGGGTTAAAGTGATTCTCCTGCTTCAGCCTCCCAAGTAGCTGGCAGCATGAGCTGTCACGCCCAGCTAATTGTGTATTTTTAGTAGAGATGGGGTTTCACCGTGTTAGCCAGGATGGTCTCAATCTCCTGACCTCGTGATCTGCCCACGTCAGCCTCCCAAAGTGCTGGGATTTCAGGCATGAGCCACCGCACCTGGCCAACAGTATTTTTTTAACCCCCAATATTCATTTTCTAGAAAAAGAGATGAAACGTGGCTGAAATCAGAAACTTAAGACACACCTGAAAAATAGCTTATAATCAGTCTTGTCACCTAAATGAAACAAGTGTTATTTCCTTGTACTTTTTTCTGGAAAGGCTGTGGGTCATCTCTTCACAGTGCCCTTGTAGGGTAAAGAAGCCAAATCTGTCAGGAACAGGTGTTTTCAGCAGGGGAAAGTCATATTCCAACCGACAGGAGTTTCCCTTTGTGAAAATTTACCTTTGAAAGATGGAGAAGGTAATTTCAGGTCTATAGATTTCTGATCTTTGAAAAGTCAATAGAGAAACTTTCTGAATGAGATTCTTTATTACATAGTGTCTGGCTGGTTCTTGTCCTCCACTGCTCCCAAAAACAGCTATCAGCTTTTTCTATTCATTCATTTACTCATTCAGTCATTAAGCATTCATTGACTGTCAGCTTTAAGACAGGTGTACTATTCTAGACATTGTGGAAAATTCAAGAATGGGATGCTGAGATGCGATACCCTAGGAATTTAGAGAGTGAGCCACTTCATACTTTTTAAAATATTATGTTAAATTCTATAAGCCAGAAGAACTTAAGAGTCCAGCTGCCTTCAAAAGGTGATAAAAATGAATTTTTGGTCAATTCAAATGCTCTTTGTTCATTGAGGTGTTTATGGACATAAATCTTCATGGGCTTGACTTCCAGGGAAGTGATTCTGTGGCATTAAAAGTGAATGCAGGCTGGGAACCATGACTCACACCTGTAATCCCAGCACTTTGGGAGGCTGAGCAGGAGGATTGCTTGATCCCAGGAGTTCAAGACCATCCTGGGCAACATAGAGAGATCTCATCTCTACAAATGGAAAAAAAACAAAAGTGCAGCCATGTGTTCTAAGGGTATCATGGAGGCACCCAAGTGGCACAGGAAGCCTTTCATCCCCACTTTATGGCAGCATCATTTTAACCTATTCTATCTATTGGACCTAAAGTAGGTTTTCAAACAAAAGAATTCTCTTGATAAGAGGGAGAAAAGCTCCCCCACCCAAAAAAAACACCGTATTACTCTCTATTCTGCTAGCTTCCTTTCACCCAAGATAACATAGTCTCCTGTAGGGAAGTTCCAAATAAATCACATGCCTCTGAGTTTTCACACTCTTGTTCACATTTGTTGGCAGTTAGGGTCATGTTATGCACCATCACGCATGTCTTAGAGCACTTTTTTTCTAGTTATGTGGAGAGAATTAATATATGAGTTTACTAACTAACTAAAGCAAAAGAGCACAATATAGCAGGATCCTTCTCATTTTATAGGAGGGGCATTCAGAAAAGTCCAACAAGAAGTTATAGGCAAAAAACTAAGGCTAGTGAATCACACCCTCACCTCTCTGTCTCAGCTTGATCATATTTAAAGAGAAATGACTCAGGAAGACAAAGATGAGTAAATCACATCTATTGCTGTCAAAAAGGCTGGGTGGGGGAATGCGGATTTAGGCCTGTTAACTAGGTGGACCCTTTAATACTATGTCCTTGAATGTAAATTACCCACTCCATTACAAGCATTGTGGGACATCATTGGCAACTCATCTGCAAGTCAGCACCACACATGGCCAAGGGTAGAGGGAAGCGTAAGCTCTTTGCAGGCGGGAATATCCATTCTGAGAGAAAAAGGAGAGTATCTTAAGTCACTGCACCCAAAGTATTAATCAGCATTCACTCCTATTCTTTTGGAAAGGAGTAACGAAGTGGCAAGACATGGAGCTGGGAGTGTAAAGGGAACATCTCTCCAGGTGGAAATCAGAGGAGGGGGAACAGCACCCCACACTGACGTCACGTAACACTGCCATGAGTTGGGAATCAGGATGAGAAGTCCCAGTGTGAAAAGGAGTGGAGGCTTGGAGGGAATACTTAAATCAACATACAGATGATGGTCAGAACTGTGATAGCATAACTGTAATACCGAGTTCTGCAGCTTACGCTCTCATAGCTATAAGCAACTAGATCAGCCCACCAAGTAACACCTTTAGAGATGTGATCATGAAGTCACAGGTGATAGAATTCTTGATAATAGAAAGGCAGAGAGAGGAGACAGGTTAATACTGGGATTAACACATTCCAGTGCTACCCAGCAGTATCTCCAGAATGAATTTGTGTCTCAATACTTTAAATTAGAAAGCATCCTGAGTACATCTCTATAATTAAAATAGAAAGAATAACTACACTTATATTAAATGTGAAAGGAAACATTCAGGAAAGATGAGGAAGGGGATTGAAGGCAAGAATTGTAATAGGAAAGGCCCACTTTACCTTCTTCTTTCCCCACATTCTTGATAAAACTCAGGAATTTTCCTCATTTCTCATTTATAAGTCACTCTCTTTTGAGAAGAGAGGTTTTAAAAAATAAATCATCAATTTATTTTCATCACTACCCATTCCCTAAGTATAATCATTCTGTCGATTTACAAAGTAACAGTTTATAAAGAAATCTGAGCCACATTTACATTTTCTTTAACACTTGGTGGGATTTGTTTCCAGTCTATAGAATAGTGCACTCCAAATGCACGTGTAAGGCCTTCTAAAATCTCTAACTGCTGTCCAAAGGCTGATTCTGAAGACAGGTCCGGAGGCAGAGTTGCCTATCTCTGGAATTTCATTATGTGCTGAAGCATAGTGCTGGCCACTCAGGTTTATTACAGAAGGGCCTCCTTATGACTTGGGACTTGGCCTATGGCCTTTTATGATCAGGTGTATCTTAGGGAGAAATGTGTACTTCTTGGTGCTCTTGATCTTGCTCTTCCAGGAGATGTTCAGGTTGAAGCATTAAACAAACAATTCCCGAGAAATATGAAATTGCCCAAAGGTCACAGAGCAAAGAATCTATATGTCAGCTTACAGAAGTAGTTCAAGACTTTCAGAAATTTCATTAAATTCATCTTTTAGTTTGATCCACTTACATTTCTCATTGGGAGTAATTTCCCTGACATTAGAGTAAATGCATAGGTTCTTTAAACTGTCAAAACCTCACCTTCTTTTTCTGCAAAAGGGATTCAGACTTCCCACCTATTATAGTTGCTGTAGGTACCAATGTTAAAATGAAATGTACAAGAAAGTGTTTTGCTAATGGGAAAAATTAAATGTGAAGAGGTGTATCATTTCCTCCACACCAATCATAACATGATGTAAGCAAAATACATAATAAGTGTCTTTACTCCAAATAGACCAAAATTCAGAGAGAAGGTGAACAAATAAAATGGTAAAGTTACATATTTATGGTGTAGTTGAAATAGTTTATAAAGGCAAATTATATCTAATTACATAAGTAAATGAATGGGAAGAATAGGTATTCAGACTCTGTCTTTTGGGACAAAATAAGTGAGATGATGTAATCTCAACAGTTTTCCTGGTGAAAGGATCAGCTTGACAAAGTCTATTAATCTATTCCATTAATCCAGTCCTCTATTCCTCAACATTCTATTGATATATTAATTAATCTATTCCTTTCTTAATCTATTATTCTCTTCCTCTTCATCATGATTTTCAAAGTCTGCATGCTGTAGTCCATCATCTATGACTCCAGCCAATTTCCCAAAAACCCCTGTATGAACTCCCTCACACTTAGTTTTCCAAATAGTCTGGCACATGTGAACAATCTGAATGAATATTCAGCAATCAAGCACTCAACATTAAAAAAAAATTGGCCACATGGTAGGTGTCTTAGAGTTTTAAGAGAGTATGTAGAAATGAACAAGACACACACGACTTCTGTCCTCACTAGAGTCCAGATAGTCTATCTTACACATACACTAAAAAACCTCATCAGGATTATACTCTATTTCAAATCCTTCAACAACTCTCCATTGCTTAAAGAACAAATGCCAATTTTCTTTCTATGACATTCCAGCTCCTCCTTTTACATTTTCAGCTTTATCTCTCACCAGTCTTCTGTATGCGTCCCAACCTATGAGCCACATTCAATTACTCACTGTTCCCCATGCTCATCATGTAATTTTATTGCTCTAGGTCTTTGCACAGGGTGCCCCTTCTGTCTGAAATGCCAGTTGCCAGTCACTTCATCTCTTTCTGGCAAATGCTTAATCATTATTCAAAATTTCTGAATGAATAAAAAAGAAAGAGAAGTTGAAAAGGAGTAAAGGGAAATACATACATTCTCTTTCCAGTACATTATTCTTCAGAATTCTGGTTGTCATCTAGACAATAGGTTTTTCCACTGCTCACTCACTCATTCAATCAATGAATGTATTTTAAAAACTATGAATTCCCTCAAAGATGACCACCAACACTTCTTCCCATCCTAGTACTCATTGACCTCTCCTTCCTTCCAGAGGTGGACTCTATTTCACTTCCACTTAAATCTAGGCTGGCTTTGACAAACGGAATGCAGCGAACATGACACCATGCCAGTCCTGGGCCCAACTTGTAAAAGGCTTGGCAGCTTGAGCTTCGCTCTCTTGGAACCCAGCCTCCATACACTAGGGAAGCCTATCTAAGCTAATGGAAGAAGAGGTAGACCATGTGGAGAACTGATGTGCAGCCAACAGCCGACACTGTCTGACAGATATATGAAGGAGACCATCTTGGACTTCCCAGCCCCGGCTCAGCTCCCAGCTCAGTGCAGGACTGCTTATCAACTCGCAGAATCACGAGAAACAAGAAAGTATTGTTGTTTTAAGCTGCTAAATTTGGGGGTATTTTGTTATGTAGCAACAGATTGAAACATTATGCCAGTCACGAAAGATAAAAGGTAGAAGTATATATTCTAAAATAACTCACTAACTAGCAGAAGATATGAGTGTATAAATATTTAATGACATATTACAAACACAGGTATAAGAATTACAGAAACTGTCTTATTACTAACCTATTTTTTGGTGGAAAATATTAAGACATATTTTTCTTTACAGTGGTGAGAAATTAAAAACAAACAAATAAACTAATGAGATGGCCCATAGACCAGTAAAGAGGTTTCTTGGAAGAATCCTATAGGTTTTCAGATCCATCTTCTTTCATTATTAAATAACCATGATAACATGAGTCTGAAAATTCCTTGTTAATTTTCATTTGGCAGTGTGAGAAGGCAAAAAGAATTGTGAGATAATTTCTCATTTTCTGTCTTGCAGTTTTTCCAGAGGCCTCCAAATTAGTTTTTTATTAAATGATTATTAATATTTCCAGTCAAGTCCTCTGGTGCCATATGGAAGTTTTACTTTTTATTCAGTACATATGTGAAAGTCTGGACTGTACAGAGTAGGAAAAAATCATTTCTCAGCTGGCATTGTCTTCCCCAGAGAATGTGTTGTTCTCAAAGCTAGTGCATCATGTTAAGTACCATCTTTTTCTCAATACTGTGCTGGTCATGAAGATGGAAGAAGAGGTGAGTTAAATATTCTAGAAAAACACATCTGCAAAACTATCAGCAGATTTATCTGCCAGAAAGGGCTTTCCCATGCACCTTTCCATACCATTTCAAGAACGGAAAGGCAGAGGATGGAATAAGAGAAGGAATCCAAAGTATGTCAAGGTTCTTTTATGGATTTTTCGTTGTTGTTGTAGCCAGGATTAAATGACCTGTTATTACTATTAAAAAAAATCCAAACAAGCAGGCAGTCAAAGACATATTTAAGTTGCAAAGTATCAACATGTTGCTTCCCTACTTATCTCATATTGCTTTTTTTCTCTCTCTCTTTACTATTAAAAGCCTTCAAAATTTAAACTTACTACTTACTCAGAAGGAATTAAAATCTGTTTTTGCCACACACAAAGTTTGAAAGGATTTTAGATCTTGTGAGGCTGTTTAATAGATTTAATTAAATTAGAATTTTACACGTTAAACCATAATTTTTAAAAAGACTAATAAAGATAAGACTTTTTTCATATTGGGAAAAAGAAATCGTCTCCTGTAGCACAGCTACAGGGGAATAGTGTGTCTCCATAGTATCAGTGGCTTTGCTGCAAAACAAACTCCTAACATTTGGTAGCTTAAAGCAACAATTCTTTAGGCCAGGCATGGTGGCTCACACCTGTAATCCCAGCACTTTGGGAGGCTGAGTCAGGGGTGACCCAGGAATTAAAGTCCAGCCTAGGCAATATAGTAATACCACATCTCTATTAAAAAATACAAAAATTAGCCAGGCATGGTGGTGCATGCCTATAGTTCCAGGTACGAGGGAAGCTGAGGTAGGAGGATTGCTGAAGCCTGGGAGGTCAAGGCTGCAGTGAGCTGTGATTGTGCCACTGCATACCAGCCTGTGTGACAGAAAGGGATCCTGTCTCAAAAAACAAAAAAAAAAACCAAAAACAGAAAACAGTTCTTTAAGAGTTGACTTATGTGGATCAGTAAGTTGAGCTGGGCTCAGCTGGGCAGTCCTTCTTGCCTAGGCTTATTTTATTTATACAGTTGCATTCAGATGATGGGTTCTTGGAGGGCTAGTAGGTCTTGGATGGGCTCACACACATCTCTGGCATTTGGTAAGTTGTTGATATGTAACAATATTTCTCCCCTGTGACTGTGACTGATGGTTGGCTTTGTGTCAACTGGGTGATACCTATACATACCCTTCATTATCCAACAGTTATTTCATGATCAAAAACAAAACAAAACAAACACCTTTTCAAACTTTTGCTTGTATCATGTTTTCTAGTTTCCCACTGGCCAAAGAAATTCATAAGGATAAATTAATAGTCAATATTCAATGGGTGGAGAAAGAAATAGGTTTTTTTTTTTTTGTTTTTTGTTTTTTTTTTAAACAGAGTCTCACTCACTCTGTCACCCAGGCTGGAGTGCAGTGGCACAATCTCGGCTCACTGCAACCTCTGCCTCCTGGGTTCAAGTAATTCTCCTGTCCCAACCTCCAAAGTAGCTGGGGATTACACGTGTGCACCACCATGCCTAGGTAATTTTTGTATTTTTAGTGGAGACAAGGTTTCACTATGTTGGCCAGGCTGACCTTCAACTCCTGACCTCAAGCGATGTGCCCACCTGGGCCTCCCAAAGTGTTGGGATTACAGGTGTGAGCCACCGTCAGAAAGAACTTCTTTGATGAGAGGAACATCAAAGAATTTGTGGTCACTTTCTATATTTGAACAGAATACTTACTACTTTCCTCCATATTTTCACATCTAATTATAAAACATAAATACCTAGAATTTGTTTTACACCCAGCATGTTTCTTATTATGTGACAAACAATTCTCTGTGTATTACCATATGTCATTTTCACAGTGTCATCCGGTATTAAATGGTGAAACTAAATGACAGAAAGTAAGTTGCCTACTATCGGTGAAGTCAGTATCCTAAATCATGAAGTCCAAATCTAAAGTTCATTTTCTTAACCAGGACTCTATACGGAGGATGAATTATTTCTCTTTATAGTAAGATACAAATTAAACACTACTAATATCACAAGAGTATTGGAGGTAACTATTTAGTTAATTCTAAGATGCATGTTTTCACACTTTAATGTGTCCAAAATTAATCTTTTATATGCTGGCATGTCATCATGTAGTCAGTAGTGGTACTTTTTTATTTCTTAATGGTATATAAAATAATGGTGCATCTTGCAATCTATACTATCTTACATTCAATAAACATGATATCATTATCTTATGCTACTTAGTTAATTTATAGCATTGATATATTCAGCAGCAAAGAGACATTTAGCAAAGAAAGCTCAGTATAAGCCCAGTGGCTTAGACACTGCTTAGTTTACACTAAATTATTAATAGAATTTATTATATGCCCAAGTATTGGCATTTCTTTGCATTTTATAATAAATGACATCATTATAGAATGAAAATATTAGTTTTTTCAATATGTTGTTATATAAAGCCAAGCAAGTTTCCAGAAAAAGCACTTTTACAAACATATCATAGGTTATCTGTCTCTTTTATACACATCAGTGGTTTATCCACTAAACATTTTGTTCATTTAAAATATTTAATGAAAACTCAATACATAAAACTAATGAACTAAAAACTGCACTATTTAGTTAGAGTTTAGCGATTATTTGGGAGGATATCAACAACACATACATGCAATTCAAAGAGGAAAATGATTAGGACTGGGATATATGAAGTTCAATTTTCATTTGAAATCTTCTTAGCTTGAACAAATGACTTTACTGTTATGCTGTAATCTCTTCATATGTAATATCTGTGGCTAATGGTACCTGACCCTTAGTTTCAATGTCTGCTAAACAATCAGCAAGTATTAACTATTTTTATTATTATTGGCAACTACCTTCCTCTTTATAAGAGCTGCTAGGAGGAGTGTCTGAAGGTAGAGTTTCTAAACTATGGAGTGACATCTTTTAAAGTTAAGATTTTTGAATCACAGTACCATAACCAAGCCAACAATATCAGTAAGATTATTAAGTGGATGCTATATACTAAGCAGATAATGACTCTGTGCTATGTAGAAGAAAAATAAGTAAAACATAGACATTGCCTCAAGAGGCTTATAGTAGCTTAAGTTGTAGGCACAATGTCTTTGAAGTAATGATCTGATAACCATACGGCCAGTGATGTGGTTTGGCTCTGTGTCCCCACCAATGTCTCATCTTGTAGTTCCCACAATTCCCATGTGTGGTGGGAAGGACCCGATGGAAGATGTTCGAATTATGGGGGCGGGTCTTTCCTGTACTGTTCTCATGGTAGTGAATAAGTCTCATGAGATATGATGATTTGATAAGGGGAATGGGCTTGGTGCCCATTCTGTCTTTGCTTGCTGCCATCCATGTAAGACGTGACTTGCTCTTCCTTGCCTTCCTCCATGATTGTGAGGCTTCCCCAGCCACATGGAACTGTAAGTCCAATTAAACCTCTTTCTTTGGTAAACTGCCCAGTCTCAGGTATGTTTTTATCAGGAGCATGAAAATGAACTAATACAGTAAACTGGTACCAGTACAGTGGGACATTGCTGAAAAGATACCAGAAAATGTGGAAACGACTTTGGAACTGGGAAACAGGCAGAGGCTGGAAATGTTTAGAGGGCTCAAAAGAAGACAGGAAAATGTGGGAAAGTTTGGAACTTCCTAGAGAGTTGTTGAATGGCTTTGACCAAAAGCCTGATAGCGATATGCACAATAAGGTCCATGCTGAGGTGGTCTCAGATGGAGATGAAGAACTTGTTGGGAATTGGAGCAAAGGTGGCTCTTGTTATGTTTTAGCAAAGAGACTGCTGGCATTTTATCCCTGCCCTAGAGATTTGTGGAACTGTGAACTTCAGAGAGATAATTTAGGGTATCTGGCAGAAGAAATTTCTAAGCACCAAAGCAGTCAAGAGGTGACTTGGGTGCTATTAAAGGCATTCAGCTTTAAAAGGGAAGCAGAGCATAAAAGTTCAGAAAATTTGCAGCCTAACAATGTGACAGTAGGAAAAAAAAAAAAAACAACCCAGGCCAGGCGCAGTGGCTCACACCTGTAATCCCAGCACTTTTGGAGGCCAAGGCAGGCAGATCATAAGGTCAGGAGATCAAGACCATCCTGGCTAACACAGTGAAACCCCGTCTTTACTAAAAATACAAAAAACTAGCCAGGCATGGTGGCGGGTGCCTGTAGTCCCAGCTACTTGGGAGGCTGAGGCAGGAGAATCACTTGAACCCAGGAGGTGGAGGTTGCAGCAAGCCGAGATTGTGCCACTGAAATCTAGTCTGGGCAACAGAGCAAGACTCCGTCTCCAAAAAAAAAAAAAAAAAAAAAAAAAAAAAAAACCATTTTTTAAGGAGAAATTCTAGCCAGCTGCAGATATTTGCATAAGCAACAAGGGGTCCAATGTTAATCCCCAAGACAATGGAGAAAATGTCTCCAGGGCATGACAGAGGTCTTCACAGCAGCCCCTCCCATCACAGGCCCAGAGGCCTAGGAAAAAATGGTTTTGTGGGCCAGGGCTAGTGTCCCTGTGCTATGTGCAGCATAGGGACTTGATGTCCTACATCCCAGCCACTGTAGCCATGGCTGAAAGGGGCCAACATAGAGATCAGGCTGTGGCTTCAGAGGGTGCAAGCCTCAAGCCTTGGCAGTTTCCATGTAGTGTTGAGCGAGTGCACAGAAGTCAAGAATTGAGGTTTGGGAATCTCCACCTAGATTACAGAAGATGAATGGAAATGCCTGGATGCCGTGGCAGAAGTTTGCTGCAAGGGTGGGTCCCTCATGGAGAACCTTTGCTAGGGCAGTGTGGAAGGGAAGTGTGGGGTTGGAGTCCCCACATAGAGTCCCCACTGGGGCACTGCCTAGTGTAGTTGTGAGAAGAGGGCTACCATCTTCCAGACTCCAGAATGGTAGATCCACTGACAGCTTGCACTGTGCACCTGGAAAAGCCACAGACACTCAATACCAGCCCATGAAAGCAGCCAGAGGGGAGGTTATACCCTGCAAAGCCACAGGGGCAGAGCTAATCAAGACCATGGGAACCCACCTCTTGCAACAACATGACCTGGATGCGAGACATGGAGTCAAAGGAGATCATTTTGGAGCTTTAATATTTGACTGCCCTGCTGGATTTCAAACTTGTGTAGGGCCTGTAGTCCCTTTGTTTTGGCCAATTTCTCCCATTTGGAATGGATGTATTTACCCAATGCCTGTACCCCCATTGTACGTAGGAAGTAACTAACTTGCTTTTGATTTTACAGGCTTATAGGTAGAAGGGAATTGCCTTATCTCAGATAAAACTTTGGAGTGTGGACTTTTGAGTTAATGCTGAAATGAGTTAAGACTTTGGGGGACTTTTGGGAAGGCATGATTGATTTTGAAATGTGAAGATATGAGATTCAAGAGGGGCCAGGGGCAGAATGATGAGGTTTGGCTTTGTGTTTCTATGCAAATCTCATCTTACAGCTCCCATAATTCCCACATGTTATGGGAGGGACCCCCGTGGGAGATGTTTGAATTATGGGGGCAAGTCTTTCCTGTACTGTTCTCATGGTAATGAATAAGTCTCAGGAGGTATGATGGTTTGATAAGGGGAAACCCGTTTCTCTTGGTGCTCATTCTCTCTTTGCTTGCTGCCACCCATATAAGATGTGACTTGCTCTTCCTTGCCTTCCTCCATGATTGTGAGGCTTCCCCAGCCACGTGGAACTATAAGTACAATTAAACCTCTTTCTTTTGTAAACTGCCCAGTCTCAGGTATGTCTTTATCAGCAGTATGAAAACAGACTAATACGGCCAGCCTCACAGATTCAAAATGATCACCTGGAGGCAAGTTATAGTGGTAGTGGTAGTGATAGGGTAAGGGTGTAAGAGTCAGCCCACTTGATGTCATTTTCCCTTTACCTATACATTTTCCCCTTTGCTGCACAAATTGCAATTTTGACTTTTTCTATTTATGTTTCTTGGTAGAAAAAAAAAAAAGCTAACATAATTGACTTCTTCCTGCTGCAACTTTCAATCTGAAAGTCAAACATTGTTTCAGAGAAAAATAATCCTCACCAGTTTTACACAATATATTCATCAGAAAGGTCCTGGCCACATCAATTAACAGCAGGGGATGAGATCAGGACTTTGGGGTTGATCCCGGAAAATGGTCCTTCACAAAATGTTACGTTGTTCTTAGTGACAATTAACTTAGCGGAGCACTTTAATGAAAGTGCAAACAAGGTCAATCTGCAGTTGGTTCTTTCTCCTCCATTAAATGACACATCGTACCTATATTTCAAAATTATGCATAGGAAGTAGCAGGCTCTTGAATGCATTCCAATTATATCACAGACCAGGCGTTAAAGCACATTGCTATTAAGCTCAAACCATGAGCTAAAATCACAGTACATAAAAGTCAGAGACTTTCCTATAGATATGTAATACATGGCATAATCTTTTTTCTTGTATTATACAGATAAAAGCAACCATCCTTCCAAGGCAATCTGTTGGTGATAGCTGATGAAAATAGAAAATAAAAGTAAGACAACTTCTGTAAGTGAAGAGGGTATGAAACCTACAAACCCATAGTGAAAGACACTGGAAGGAGTGACCTTTGAGGAACCAGGAAGCTGAGAAAGTACCTTTCTTGGTTTAATTACTGTACACCATGCAGGCATCTATTAGAGCAGTACTTCCCAAAAAAGATATGTGGTCCAGGTCATCAGAATCCCTGGAAAATAATGTTTTTGTTTGCGGTGGCAGGCGCCTGTTACCCCAGCTACTCGGGAGGCTGAGGCAGGAGAATCACTTGAACTTGGGAGGAGGAGGTTGCAGTGAGCCAAGATCACGCTACTGAACTCCAGCCTAGGCGACAGAGTGAGACTCCGTCTCAAAAAAAAAAAAAAAAAAAAAAAAGAATGTTTTTGTTTTTAATGCAGAATTCTGAGTCCTACCCTAGAAGATTTTCTTTCAATATATCTAGGGGAGACCAAGAGATCTGGATTTATATCAAATATCTTGCATAAACCTAATTCAGGGACAAGTTTAGAAACCAATATCATCACATTTCATTATAGTTGGACAATATATTTTATATACTTCCCTAGACTGAGTCTTGAAGTTTAAGACCTAAGATTTTCTACTCTGGATACTGTCACAGTACCTAACACAGAATAGGTACTTGGTGGGTATCTGCTGTGTGAAGGAAGCTATACATAAAGTGAGTCATGTCTTTTCCCTTAACGCTCTCTAAAGGCTTATTTTCTCCATTCATTGTTTAATGTCCTCCTAAGTTTTTGTGTTAGGGATTAAATATCAGTGGCAAGTCTGAGAGAAGTGTAGGGTAGAGAGGACAAAGTACAGTAAGGAGGCAATAACTAGCAGCTAGAAGAACACAGGAAGGACCTTGGCCGAGGTTCTGCAGATTTGGTCTACTTGGAGGACGTACACTTGGAGGACCCTTAAGACAGACCCTGAGTATGCAGAGAAAGGTGATGGGCAATGTAACTGAAGAATCCACTCCCCTTTCTTTGCTTGCCTAGAGCTCTGCATGACGTGGCCTCATTTGGATGGCACCTGATTGTCAGCCCAGTGTATTCCTCCTCTCAGATGTTTAAAAAGCCTCTACAATGGAACATTATCCAAGTTCAGGTGTATTCAATCTGATTCTTATATTCTTCATTCATATTTATAGCCTCCTGCTTTAAGATTCCATTTTAAGACAGAATCCTGTGTCTTACTCAAGCCACTGACTTCAGAATTTCTTTTACACTTTTCCCACCTCCAAAGGGTTAAATTAAAGTCTCTTTGGAAAACAGTTCTGAGAAAAATGATCAGTGCTCAATTTCCTGTTTTATCCATGGCTACATGCTGGATTTACATAACTGAAAACATCAATAAACTGTCAATTATGGTAAATGAATATTAGCTTTTCACTACACAATAATCCAAGACCTATAAGTTTAAGAGTATTAGGAAATCAGAAAGTTTAAGAGTATTAGGAAATCAGAGGTTGAGTTTTGGATCTTCCCCATGAGCTCATCTTCAATTTAGGTTAAATATATGCCCAGGGATTAGGGGTAGCCTGGACAAATGGGCACATTGGTATTGTAGGCAATCTCTCATCTGCAAACCAGGTATTGAGCTGGATAGAAATGCCTGCACGTGGCCAGCCTTTATTGTACCCTCGTCTCTAGGAAAATAAGGACTTCAATAAAATAAGTACATTTTATTCATTACTTTATGCTACTGCCCTATTTCTCAATTTCAGAGACAGTTGTTTTACAAATATGGCCCTTTTCCATTATAACCCTTCTAAGTTAACTTCTTTTAAGTTTACCACATCCCCCTACTACAATATCAGCCAGTCCTTAATCCTTATTAGCTGAATAAGCAAATGAAGAAGGAAAATGTTACAGTGGAAGCAATGAATCAGTCAGTTCCCAAATACTTACTAAATACCTATTAATTAAAAAACCATCTCTACCCTCATGGGACCTGGAGTCTTAAAAAGAGGCAGGCAGGCACAGTGGTGGGAAGAGACAGAAGGCAAGAAGAGATAAGTAAACAACATAAGTTTATCAAGTGATAAATGATACAAGAAAATGAATTTTGATGCTGTTACAAAGTGTGACAAGGGAGATGGGGTGCTTCTTTACATAAGATGATCAAAGAAGTCCTCTTTTAACCCTAAGATGATCTGAGAAAGAATATTCCAACCAAAGGGTCAGGACTTAAAAGACTGAGTCAGGACTCAAAGAATGAGTGAGCTTAACAGTGTGTATTAATGAAAGACACAGTCTTTACCCTCCCAGAGCTTATAAGCTTCTCCTCATTCCCACTAACTGGATTCCCTTTTGTACATGGCTGCAGCAATTAGATCTTGCCTTGCTGCTAGGTTTCCTTGATTTCTGATCCATTCTTACTAATCATTTAGAAAAACTGCATCAGATGAACAACAGTCTGATTTTCTCTGTCCCTGGAAGTGGGGAGAGGGCATAGCAAATGGCATTTCTAACGGCAGTTCAGGGTGGAGAGCCACTGTGAAAGGCATTTCAGTTATTTCAACAGAACTACTTCTATCTATCCTCCTAAGACAGGTCTGAAAATCAAAATCATGCTGGGCTTGCTGTTAGCCAAAGTTGAATTTAACTGATGGGATGTTTTTCATTTATTCATTGATTCACACGTGTTTTCATCAGGCATTTATTTAGTGTACCAAACATTATTCTGGAAAGTTGAAATACACAGATAAGTGGAATATTGCTCTTTCCTTGTAGAGGTGCACAAACAAGTCTAGGGATAGACAGAAAGCACAAATCACAGCAATGTTATTTGTGCTCTGAGAGGTTTGCAGCAGTTGAAGAGATTTGCACATAAGCATAAGTATTTAATTCAGCCTGGAGAGGTTAAGACAGTTTCCTGAAAGAGGTGATGCTTGACTTGAGACTTGAAGGTTGAAGACAAGTTTGTTAGGTGGGTAAAGATGTGGGAAGGGATAGAGATACTATAGAAAAATAATGTCATTAGGATTGCTGGTGTGAGCATGCATAGTGTGTTCAGGGAGCTGAAAGCCTATCTACAAGAAGCAAGAAAACTTAGTGAAATAGGAGGAGGCCATGGCCTCAAAGGCCAGTTTCCTGTAGCCAGCATTTTTTTCACTAATTTGCTCTAACAGTTTGATATATTTAAGACAGTCATTTCATTAATGTTCTAGTCTTGCCTGGGTTTGGCAGAGAGTCTCTTTATTATTGAGTCTAACAGTCTCTTGTCCTTTCTGCTGTCCCAAAAGACAGAACGTGCCTCCGGTTGCCAGGGAACATAGAAAGTGCTCACCAGCCATTATCTCATATTCTGACCGTGCAAAGTGGTTGCCATTCTGAGAATGGAGGTGAGGAAACTGAGGCTCAAGGGTGAAACTGCCTTGCCTAAGGTCACACACCTAGGAACTGACATGGTTATGATTCAATTTCAAACCTGGTGCTCATCCTCTAACACTGGGACAAAGCTGGTTATAAATCATGCTGGCAGTCTATTGAGCCTGTGGTTTTGGCTGGTGTGAAGATGTTGAAGGAAGGTTTGTATTAAGATACTCTGTGGTTTTGGCACAAGAGCTATGGAAGCATATGGGCCCCTGGAGAGGTTAGCAATATGAGCAAGAAATAACAGGATGAGATTCAACTGGAAAAATGCTAACGAATACATCTGGAGACAAACAAGCAGAAACACACATGGTTAATGGGAAGCAGAGCAGCAGGGACAATGAGGGTTTGGAGAAAGTGGACATTTTATCATAAAGACATTGCCAAGAGGAGACGGGAGCAGGCGAGAAGAATTCACTTGGGCTGTGGACAAAAAGGCCTCATCGAACCAAGGAGAGAAAGAAAAGGCCTTTGGCATGCTTGATGTTTTGGATCTGCAGTGCCATTTTCACTTTGGGTCCTCGTATTTTAAACAGAAGCCAACCAATGCTGGGGAATTCAGAAAAGAGAATCACACACATAATTTAATACCAGAGCGGATGAACTCAAGAGGAACAAACAAACAAGCAAATAAGATCATCTTACATCTCTACAATCCTGAAAAAGGCAGCAGCAAAAAAGGGCTGAAGTGAAAATGCTCAAAAATGGAGGAGTGGGCAGGTAGCATGGCTCATAGCGGTATAACTTACAGCACTAGCTACCTGCAGTTACTTGATCTTCTGCTAAAGTCCTCTCATTGGGAACACTGTCTCCTAAAATGTGGCGGCTCCAAGCCTGAAGTCCAGAACTAACACTGTGAAGACTGATTTCATGCTGTCAGAGGACAGGGGCTCTGGACCTCAGAGGGCATCCTGTTGCATTGCTCTCAGTCTTATTTGATAATCACTCATGAATGATACCTATGGATACCTTGTGGTGTTTATTCTAGATGTAATACAACAGACTTTAATTCCTGAGCTAAATTCATGGGGCAGGAAAATAACACCATTTCTCAGTTTTCATGCCATTTTCTTCTCTTTTTTGTCATCAGACACTGGGTGGATTATAAATGACCTGAGTGTGCTGTCTTAGTAATTCCTCAACCAAATGTTGTTTTCCAATAACCATCTATCTTCTAAAGTGTCTCTCCCATTATCTTTTTCCTAACTGTTTGAATCAGATGGTACTTTATACTTTAAATTCATGTCCAAGTCATTTCAACTAACACTGCCCTGTGATTTTGGACTCTCTACCTTAGAGGAAAAAGCACATTCAAACTGTGATGTGTGCAAAAATGTGTTTGATTTTGTAGAGGAACAGAAGGTTCTAGAAATTTTGGTGCGTTGTGGCATGTGCCTCTGAGTAAACGAGGGTAATGTTCTTGGTGGAAATTCCCTGAGTGAACCCTACCAGTACTATGTTAAAATATGAGATTCCCAAATGGAATGCTGGCATAGACTGATGTATCCTGTAACTGACATGAAATGAATTAAATCACCACCTGCTATAAGCATTCAGCATCTTCTCATTCATTTGAGGCTCTCAAAGGCAAGTGTCTCCCATTGAACATAAGAAGTACTTAATAAACATTTGCTGACTGAATAGATGAGTAACCTCAATGGTAAAGCACAGTTATTACTTTGTTAGTTTGGTACAATGAAGAGACCCAAGTTTGGACTTCAAGTCAGACAGACTACATTAAAATCTTCCCTTGTTATCTAACAATTGTGTGATTTCAGAATAGTAACTTCAATTTTATGTCCTTGATTTTTCTCATTTTTTTAAAAAAGGAAAGATTTTAGTTAACTCCTGGGGCTCTTGTGAAGATTAAATGCAAAATAGCATATTAGATGACTACTCTAATTCCTGGGGTATAGGAAAAATGTACCAAAAGCTATTTTGCTGCTGCTTTGGGACCACACCAGTGACATTTTTCTGGCCAACATCTCATGCCCTTAATTCATATCCATGGCCCAGAGCCCCAGAGCAACTTTCTTGAGGAAGTTTTTCTATATGGCTTTCCTAGAGCTTTCTCCAAGCTCTTTTGGCACTTTCTATCTGTACAACTCAGTCGGACACTATATATGTCTAACTTCTCATACCATAGTATTTATTGAATTGCTATTTCACAGATGGTGTGGATCAGTCATGTGTCCCAGTGTGAGAATTTGAGAACAGGGTTTGCAATAGGCTCATTCTATCACAATGCCAACTCCATGGGAGGTGCATGTAGATAAGCCCCACTGAACACAATACACCACTCTTAATCCTTTTGAGTTGGAGAATCTTCATTTTAAAATAAGGATATCATATGCAATCTATCTACTTTTTAGTCTGGTTATAAGAATCAAATGAGATAACACATATGGAAAAATTTTGTAATTCTTAAAGCTTTTATGGATGAATATAATTCTTCTCTTCTGATTATATCATCTTATTTGTTACTTAACTACAATCTTAGGAGGCAAAAAGAAAAGATGCTTTCATACTTAATTTTGAAGAACTAAGCTTAGTTAGGTAGGCATCAGATCAAGAAAGCATAATTACATAGGCAGTATCAAATTCCCTATATCCAAACATCTAGCTTCCTTATAACCAAACATCTTTGTGCTGTCCATGCTTCTAGTGACCATGTTATTGGAACAATACATCAAGGTATGGGGTATTTTCTTAAAGACTGTGTCATCACAAAAAAGAGATATATATTGCATGCTCCTTCCTTCTCTTCAGCACCCAATGCATATCTCTATTAACAGACTCGTTATATTTTATTGAAAAGATCCATGAAGGCCTCCCAGCTGTGGCCCTAATATAATATTTATGAAAACATACACAAACAAACGTTACCAAGTTAAAAAAAAAAAGTGGAAACTTGAGATTTCTCAATGCTCTGCCAAAACCCTGGAGAAATTTTTACTAACCAAAGATCAGATAAAGTTTTCAGGAAATAAAAATGATCAGATGAAAGGGTCCGATGTGAAGATCTAGGAAAATGATCAACTTTCTGAGTTGTAGTTTTGATTTCTGCTTTATAGCAAGAGAATAACTACAGAAAGCACCAAATTATTGAGAAATAAATATCCCCCTGTACCATCAGTTGATCAAACAGCAGAAGCAAGATTAATTCTAAATAGAGTCCATGCATAGAAGTAAAATAGACCTAGATTTGCATGCCTACACCACTACCTAGTAGTGGTGCCCTTTGATAAATTTATTTCATATTTCTAAAATTCATATTTTTAATCGGTAAAATGAGAATGATACTAGTGGCCCTTTTATGTAGCACCTATGAGAATACATGTGAAGTCCCTAACATAGTGACTAGAATAAGGGGAAGTTCAATACATGATAGTCGTTACTCTTTATATTATTATTATTATTAATTATTATTATTATTAAATGCTGGAGATTGTTGGTACTTCAGCATCCCCAAACCCTAACCCCGCAAAACATACTCTCAGGCATGTTCATGTGACCACATGCACGCACACACACACACACACGCACACGCACACACACGCACACACACACACACACACACTTACTTTTGAACCTCACGAGGTCAGGAAGCCTAGAAAGTAATTTTCTCAGATTTCCTGGAGTTCTGACTTAGATCCTATCAATAAAAGCTGCCTACATACAATTAGGAAGACAAGAAAGAGAAGCCATTATTTTCTCCCTCCAGTGGCCTGTAGATGAGAGGGTAGCAAGAAAAAGTGGGGTTTAGAGAACTTTCTAGACCTGCTCCTGTGAGTCACTCACTCTGGTGCTTTGGTTCTTTGAGATTACGTGCAGAAATTCCTACAATTCCTGCATTTCCTAATTTCCACAAAGCCAGCTACTTGAACTGACCTTGACTCTTGGCTTTCCCAGCTGTCTCAACGGTTTTATAAGCAGCTAACTTCCTATATTAAATTCTTCCTGCTTTAAATATCCAGAGTGACTTCTGTCCTCTAGACCACATCTTGTCTACTATGTATTACACCCTCTATAAGCACAATTGCTGTTTGATACAGCAGAGTGTACTAGGTAATTGATGGGCAGGTATGGACAATTTGCCTGTGGGCCATGCACTTGAGCCAGCGCTCTCTCTCAATCACTGAATGACAAGGCCTCACTGGAAATGGAGGCTTATTTCTCCCTAGACAGAGAACAGTAAAATTATAAAGATCTGTCCTCATTAATGGAGGAGTAGAAGCAAAACAACCACCACCACCACAATATCAACAACTTTGGCTTATAAAAGGTGTACCAACCTGCAACCAAGAGGCAGAGAAAAAGAATAATTGTTCTGATTTTTACCAAATATTTTCCTGGTAAGCTCTATTACCTATGCAAATAAAAGATAATATATTTCAAAATTAAATAATACCTCAGAAAACATAAAGTGAAGGAAAATTTAGCTAATAAGTTTTTTCCTTTTCTTCAATGCTCTGAGCAATGTAAGAAGGAAAAATCATGTTTAATTTTTACTTGTATCCCAAGCACCTAGCATTGATTCTGGTGCACACACATTTTTCGAACTGAAGGGAAGTGGAAAATCAGGATTAGCCTGTAGCTTCAGGAGACAGAGAGGCCAGGGTGATCCTGTTAGTTCCAGACAGGTTCCAGAGCTAGGTTTCCTCTTGCCCCCCCACCGCTTGCTTCTCCAGCCCACATTCCCCGAAGTTCACCTTTTAAAGTGCCTCTTAGCTTGTCCAGCCGCACCAGCCCTAGGCTTACTCATAAGACCAAGCCCAGTGGAACTGCCTTTCCCACACCACATCTAAGTGAGCCAGTTTTAATAAACAAACTATTCCAGATTGGCACTCATAGTTCCAATTTAGTACTTTTGATGTTCTTGGTTACCTAAAATAGAAAATAATAATTTAAAAAAGTTCCAAAAAGCTTATTTAAAAGATGTGCTTTAATTTAACTAGAATGTTACAATAACATTTCCTTCCTATTATAACTGAAAAACAACTAAAAGTTGTGAAGAGTGCTATAGTGTTTTTGATGAGATAAATCTTTATTCTCAGACATAATTAACTTCTTTAAGAAGATGCACTAAGTCTAAATTCAAGGACATTTATTTTAAAACTTCTGAAGGTCTGAGATTCTACATTGTTATATTCAGGCAATGAATTTTACCTCTTTAAAATATTTTAATCCTTATCCCACTCCTATCTGTGCATTTCTGGTTTAAATGACTTTTGGATCTCTCCTTAACAAACTAGAGTCTTCGAAGCTGACCTTCCTCTGGCTAGGAGAACCCAGAGGACCAATCCCCTATGGATTCTCTAGTTTTCTATCTCCAGGAGATGAGTGAGGTAATCAGGTTATCAGCAAGGTTCTGTCTGTCAAGGTGACTCATGAATGCCCCTGGTCCATGGTTAATTACTACGCTTCTGGTGTCTCTGCCTTCATCTGCTTTTCTGAATATTTTTTTTGTGGCACAGAAGCCCAGACCCCACTCTTTGGCCCTTACTTTTGAAGCACAGCACATGTGGAATGTCCATTCTCCACAGAGGGTGACAGGGCAGCTGTAGCCACAAGCCCAGTTTCTACAATCTAAGAAAAACATATCTTGCAACTGAGTGATTACCTAAAAGGGGAATTGTGAGGCTAAGATTTTGAGATGACAGATTATTCAATGATTGTGGAAACCAGAGCTACTAATAACCCCCAACACCAAAAAAAAAAAAAAAAAAGAAAAAAGCTTGTGGATAGAGCACTGGTTTTATATAATTGCACTGAATTCTGAATGAAACACAGCTATCATACTGAAACAGAAGGTTAGTGTGGCATTCTTCTGTCTCAGTGACAAAGGGATTGAAGGCATCAGTCAAGAGAGGAATGCAGGATAGATAATAGATGCAGCCCAACTGCAGCTGTAGACATCAGGATTACTGAAACAAGGCCATTCTTCATGCAGATGCAAGCACATTGTAAACATAAGCATTAATACTTTTTGGATTCAGGGGAGAGCTGGAATTTCGCATTTCCAACGTTGCCTTAATTCATCACTGCCTGCCGCATGATCCTCTAGCACTTTTGTGTATGAAGTATAACAATTAGAACTAATGATTTTGGTGTTCGCAGCTTCAGATTGCTTCACAATTTCTTGAGGTGAGAAGTAGCCCACTCTCAACAAGTAGAGTATAAATTAAACTTTACATCTTATTTAGGAAAGGATTCCCATGTTTTCTTTTTCTAAAAATATACTATTGATTATTTAAGTCAGGAATCAAGGGTACAGTGCTGCCCTTGGTGCAAGAAGTTAAAAACCCATGCATCACCTCAGAACCCTCCACTGAATTTAGAGTTCTCTACAAGAAATTTGGGAAATTCCCTATAATTTTTCCAGTTTGGCCGGATTCCCTCATAGAAATCATGGCTAAAATCTCCTTATGTTTTACACCCAGTGAACCCCAAGGAGGCTACAAGGATAGCCTAGAATCTGAAAGGTAGCCTTTGCATTTTGACACCCCAAAGATTTGTCCATGTGCTGGGGCCATATGGGGATTCTGCAAGGTGCGAATTCTTGTCTCATCACCAAGACTAGTCCTGTAGTTCCTGATGCCCATGTGGGAACTGATCCTATTTTCCTGTGGATTTTAGTGAAGGAAAGATGATCAGAAAAACCTGGCAATTTCTAGGACAGATTGAAACAGCTGTGAGCACAGCAGAGTGTGTTGCCACTGCTTCTATATTATAATAAAAATGACAATATATCCTACATTTTACATTGTAATATACACTCTACAGAGGGTATTTGCTATTGGTGAAAGCTGCATAGATCATTCAGCTTCAAACTGTTTATATTACTTCAAAATGACAACTTCATTTTCTGTAGGCATCAAAAAAAAAAAAACCCTTCAACCTCCTGATAAAAATGCAATTTTTACTTATAGTACCATTCATAACACTTCTGAAAATATAGCCAAATGTGATATTAGTCACAAGACCTATCTCTTCCTATATTTCAAGTTATTGTTTCTGAATTCTGTGGCTCCATCTCTCCTTATTACAGGTGGAAGTCATAAACTAACTGAAATGTGTTGGTGTGTTCTGGTGGTGGTCACCAGATTGGCAGGGGTAGTCATTAAGAAATAAAAAATCATGTAATATTCAAAGAAGCAACAATTTGATCATTGGCATCTGGAAGTAAATTGTACGGTAAAGGGATAAATACGTGAGGATCTCAAATGTTTAAAGCCACAGTTAATGTTAAGGCCATAGATGAATCCTGGTAGAGAGTTCCTGGACATGCAAGGGGAAGGATCGTGGCTCCATGGCCACAAGATGTTTCCTGGAACCAGTGATTCTGTCTTGGGTTGTATTAGGACACTCTGGTACATTATTCATGGAATAGGGAGGCCCTGTGATTTTAGTGCTCACTATGGGTAGGGCAGGAGGTTGGAGGAGGAGGTTTACAATATGAATATTTTATTGCATGTAAATTATACCTCTAAGGTTACTTTAAAAAAAATACTGCCAGGTAATAGAGTTTATATCTCACTGCAAACAAGAAGAGTAAAACCTGGGGGTTTGGGTCAAGATGGTAGGCTAGAAGTAGCCCATTTGCTCTGCTCTCATGTGGATGAATGGAGCTGGAGCCCATTATCCTTAACCAACTAATGCAGGAACAGAAAACCAAATAGTGTGTGTTCTTACTTATAAGTGGGAGCTAAACACTGAGTACATATGCACACAAAGAAGGTAACAACAGACACCAGGATCTACTTGAGGGTAGAGGGGGGAGGAGGGTGAAGATCAAAAAACTGCCTATTGGGATACTATAGATTATTACCTGGGTGACAGAATAATTTGTACACTAAACTTCCACAACGTGTAATTTATCTATATAACAATCCTGCACATGTAGCCCTGAAACTAAAATAAAAATTAAATAATAAATAAAAATAAAGGGTAAAGACTTAAAGTCAAAGATGGAGAAGGGAGAGTAGAGTAGAACAAAGGAAGAGTGACATCCCCAGGTGAGGGTTGGTGTGGACAGTTCACTTTTCTGTGTTTTCTGTACCCTGGGTGAGCAGCCCAGCCACGTATAAAGGGACAGTTCCATATAGTGCAGCTGAACATGAAGTGTACAAACAACAACATCTTAGAACTTTTCAAACTGAACTAGGTTCACACCCCGGCTATGATGCTTCTTGGTTTTGTGATCATAGACAATTTGATTGTAAGCCTATTGAACCTCAGTTTTCTCAATAGTGAAACTGATGCAAGGCAGGCAAGCCCCAAAATTAGGGCTTAGCCCAGGAGGGTTCTTGGCTTCACCTGGGAAAGAATTTAAATGTGAGCTGGTGGTGTTACCAACTATTAATTTGAAGGGGCAGTGTGTGGCAGCAGCAGAACCCACAGGCAGTGTGCCCAGAGTAGCAGCGTAAGGGCAGTACTACTGTCATATTTAAACTCTTTCAATTTCCTGCAAATTTAGGAGTGAGTTATTCAGAAATTTCTAGAAAACGGCTGGTAGCTTCTTGGTGTTGCCATGGAAAGGGGCAGTAACTTCCAGATGTTGCCATGGCAATGGTAAACTGTCATGGTACTGGTGGGCATATTTTATGGAGGGATGCTGCTTTCCCTGCCTCTTCCCTGTTTCAACCAGTCTTCAATCTGATCTGAAGCCTCACCTACATCAAAATGAGAATGATAACAGTCTTTATGTTTGTTGTGAGACTTATTCTAAGAAACACATGTAAATTACTTATGTACTCAATATCCGTAAGTACTAATTTCATCCTCATACTCAACCTATGGATGGCAGATAGAAGACCAGACTCAGAGGGTCAGAAGCCCTGTGGCCAGGGTGAACAAATCTAAGAAGCACAGAACTGAATAAGTGACTGCGAGGAGTCTCCGACCCCTGACCACTTTCTTATTTCCTCAGACCTGCCCTATGATTGTAAGGCAATCAGAAACAAAGATATGATGATATTGGAAAACGGTGGGGTGAGTGTGGGGGAGAAACATATCTTCTGTTACCAGTGCCTTAAAGCAGAAAAATGCCAACACATTATAGGACAATTAACATTAAACTGAACTCAGATGTAAACATAATCAGACAAGGAGTTCTGAAAATAGCCACGTCTGCTGGGTGCCAAAACCAGGTGGATTCTTAGAACATACTGGGCAATATTTTGGATGTCTTGCCTGCTCTCTTGAGCTCTGCTCCCCAGCATTTTGTATATGGCATAAGTTACAAGGCCCAAGGCAACAGTCTCCATGTTAACCCCTCTTGGGATGCTCTTAGAGTTACAGCAAAAGTTCTGTCTTCCTTCGTCTATGTTGTCAGCATTAGTTACAGCTGTTTACCTGATATCAGTTTAGTCTTCCTGAAGTAAACAGGAAGTCATTTTTTCCCCAATATATTCAACCATAATTAAAAACAAGTCACACATGCAGTTTCAGAGAACAGGTTCAACTAATGTCCTTTTTTTTTCCTTTTTTCAGAACATGACTGCAAGGGGAAAAGGCTATAAACTATAACAATTCAAAATGTTTATAAATGTTGCTGGGGTTCCAAGTACTTAGATTTTCTATAGCCTCAATTATCAGCAAACCATGGTGACTGTGGCAAACTAAAACAAAGCAAAGGGAGAATTTTTGTTTTTTGTCTTTGAAACTCAGAGACCGTATCTCTGAGTTTTTCCTGGGGCCAAGAAGAAACTTTGTAAATGAGGACACATTTAAAAAGGTCCTTAGGAATGAAGCCCCTGGATGTGATCCAGGAAGACGCACAGACCAGCCCTGCTGCGAACGTTGTCTTGTGGGAGGTTCTGAGCACTCTGTCTTCAGGAATGGTCAAATGCCTCTGGTGGGAGATATGAGGATAGAGTCTGAGACAGAAGAGCTGAAAACACAGGGCGTTAAATAGCATTTACAGGTTGATAATCTCATTATAAATGTAATAGGAGAGAATTATAGGAAATTTTACTGTAGAAAAATATAACAAAGAAAATAAAGGCCAGGAGTAAACATGGCACCCAACATTAAATATTAATATTCTCATCCGCTTTTTTCTAAAAATACATATACATGCTTGCATATGCAGTTTTAAAAGTAGGATTATAATGTAAATATTTTGTACACTGTTGTTTTTCACTTTCCATATACAATAGAAACTCTTCCAATCTAGAGTATTCAAAGTCAGTAACCGGCCAATTAATTTTAAAAGGCTGTAAAGCAGAGTTATTTAAATAAACACTTACTGCTTAAACATTGTGTTTTCACTTAAGATATATAAATGTGCATTCATTAACTATGCTTATGATGCAAGGCCAATGCCTTTTCTTGTTGTTATTTCTTTCTGTCTTTGTTTTTGTTTTTGTTTTAAGACAGGGTCTCACCGTGTCACCCAGGCTGGAGTACAGTGGCACAGTCATAGCTCATTGTAACATCAAGCTCCTGGACTCAAGCGATCCTCCCACCTCAGCATCCTGAGTACCTGGGACCACAGGTGCACAGCACCATGCTGGCTTTTTTTTAAATTTTTTTTTCTGTAGAGACAGGATCTCTCTATGTTACCCATGCTGGTCTCAAGCTCCTGGACTCAAGGGATCCTCCTACCCTGGCCTCCCAAACTGTTGGGATTACAGGCATAAGCCACCAAGCCCAGCCAGGCTTTTTTGTTGTGCTCAGGTCCTCTGATGACAGTTCCGCAAAGTTTTCTTCTGAAAGCCACATTTATGATACATGGTCTACAATTTCATTTTATGATGTCTTTAAATGAGAGGGAGATTGCAAAGACTATGAAGAGGACATCAGAGCTCATAATCCTAGAATTTTCCAATCTTTTTCCTTACCTTTTTTGGTTGTCTTACCAGAGTTTGACAACAATTATTTAGCACCTTAGCTTCCTAGAAAAACAATCTGAAACTTTTTTTGCAATTAATGACTTAGTGATTTAACTGATATTTATCCAATATCAGTTCATTGAGCCATGCAATTACAGTGGCAAGGGCAACCAGCCTAAACATATTTATTGAGACATAGTAAGGACATTACAAAGAGTGGGAGCGGTTTGCACCAGAACAGGGGAGAGGAGCCTGCAGTCCATGAGACCAAGAGCACCGTGGACACTGCTCTGTATGTTTACAGATGGAGTGCCCAACTATGTTATTCTGGTGAGTTGGTTACATGAGGGCTGGTTTAGGCATAGTCTGCAATTTTCAGCTTCATCATGTTTCAACGTTGAAATTGATCCCAGACACTTGAACTAAATGTAAATGTTATAGAGGTATTGGAAGAGACAAGTCATTCCGCACTTATATTTAAAGTATCTCTGAGTGGTACAATTTGGTTTTAATGATAATGAAACTTAGTAGTATTCAGGTAGGAGACAGGACTTGACTCCAAAGGTGGGGCTTGGACACTGGACCAGATTGAGGACTAGCTAAATAGGGATGAGGGAGGAGGCAGTTTTCCAATCAGACACAACCACCAGTGTGCCATGTTAATTTAACACTGCCATGGCAACACCCGGGAGTTACCACCCCTTTCCAAGGCAATGGCCCAATGACCCAAAGGTTACTTACTACCCCTTCCCTAGAAATTTCTGCATAAACTACTCCTTAATCTGCATGTTATTAAAAGTGGGTATAAATGTGACTGCTACTCTCTGCTTACGGGGTAGCCCTGCTCTGGCAGAGCAGTCACAAAGCTGTAGTAACACTGCCTCTTCAATAAAGCTGTTTTCTTCTATCTTCAGCTCTCCCTTGAATTCTTTCCCATAAAGTTGGGCTTAGCAGCTATGTTTAACTCACATGCAGGAATGTGTCTTTGTGGCAACAGAAGACTTTGTTTTCCCTTAAATGAACCCATTTACTAACCCAAACCAAGAAGCCCATCCTTCGCCTTCTACCACATTTGTGTATTAACAATCAACTTATATGGATGGATTTTGCATAAAAATTCAGCAAAAAAATTGATGTCATCTTGGATAAAGTTGAGCTTAGGAGTTTGTTGTTTCTGTAAATGTTCCCTGATATTTCCATTTCTTACTGCCAACATATCTTCTCACAAGAGTCAGCAGTGTTCTAAGTAATTTGCCTGGCCAAAGTGCTAACAAGTAATTAACAATGCATTCATTAGTAAGGCAGTTAATGCATCTAATGATCCTTAATCACAAAATGGAATGTTTGCTCTGAATGTTTTATTCCACACCCTTTTCCACACATTATTTATTATCAATTAGTTATGTGGAGCAGTGATCATTATCTGTGGATAAAAAGCAATTGCTCCAAAAAACTAAAAAACTGCATTATTGATAATCCTGCAATTTAATACATACATTTTTTAATTCTATGTGTCTGGAACCTTACTCATATGATTCGTTTTCTCACAGTGCATGCTATTTCACCTAGGATATGAATGCCACGTGTTTTTATATGGACAAGCCAAGTTCTTGCATTTATCTATTTAAAACAGAACAGCTCTAGGGCACCTTAGCCTTGGGCTATGCGTCTGCTAACCATTAAAGAAGTCAAACTCTGTGACTGGGCTTCTTTGAAATACTGCAGAAGCTCTGCTTAGCTGGCACAGTTTAAAAAATGTGTCTGTGGTTATAAACATATATACACACACACATATAATAGATATATATACATATATAGTGCACAGTTATATGTATATGCTTTTGGATAACTTTTAAAGTAAACTCCCTTCTTTGCTAGTCATCTTTGTAAATGGCTCTACCATCCATAGAAGAAGAACCCACAGAGGTATTCTAGATGCCTTGCTCTTTATATGCCATATTTAATAAGTCATCATATTAGAATTTTACCTTAGAAATGTCTCTTACATCTCTATCCTGTGCTCCAACCCCAGTGCTTTTGTTCTGGAACCATCATTTCTCATGAAGACGTGTTAACACATTAAAGTTCCCGTAAGGAAAATATTTCACTGCAGCCTCTCCTCTCAACAATCTATATTTTTATCATCCCTATTTGATATTCTTTTCTGACTAACATAGGAATTAGAAGAGTTTGTGATTGGGGATGATGGTGAGAGTAGGGAGACAGCTCATAAAACAGGAAGTCATGTCTCAAGCCCAGTTCTTCGAGGAAAGCTGGTGTGATATGGCCAATGTAGTGCAAAAAGATAGATGTGAAACCAGCTCTATACATGTTCATCTGTTTTTTAAGAAACCATCAATGAAGCAAGTTCTAGCTTCAGAAAATCCTATGTGGAGAGACCTAGAAGAGACCTCACCTGTCATTCAGTCTAACCATGAAGGCAATTGTACTTTTTTAGGGCTGAGTTGTTTTCCTTGTCCTCCAATTTATATGCTGAAGTCCTAACCCCTAGTACTTCAGAATATGACTATGTTTCGAGATAGGTAGGGGCTTTAAAGAGAAGATCAGGTTAAAATGAAGCTATTGTGGGGAGCCCTAATCCAATATGACTGACATCCTTTTAAGAAGAGGAAATTTGGACATACAAAGAGATACACCAAGTACGCACACTCACAGAAGAGACACTAAGTGAGTATATAGCAAGAAGGCGGCCATCTACAAGCCAAGGAGAGAGGCCAAAGAGGGAACCAAATCTGCTGACACCTAGATCTCAAACTCCCAGCCTCCAGAATTGTGAGAAAACAAATTTCTGTTGTTTAAGCCTCCCAGTCTATAGTACTTTGTGATGACAGCCCTAGCAAACTAATACACATTTTTCCTGGCTCTTGGGAAGGAATGCTATTCTTTTGTATATTTCAGCACACCCTACTTTTTCAGGCAAAACAATATGGGAAAGAATAATTTTCAAACTGGAAAGCATTTAGGACTGTGTAAATCTCACAGGAAACCATGATAACAAGAGATTTGCAGCAATTAAACTTTAAAAAGCCTCACAAGATCTCCCAAATTGAATGCGCACATTTCATCGAAGCCAAGTACTAACAAACATATCCCCTGAAGCAACACCACTAGAATAACACCTTCTCTCCTCCCTTATGATTCTAATTGTTTATTTGATAACCTCTTATCCCAACTATTCCCAGTGTGGAATCTGATAGTGGTTAGGTTGAAGCTCTAATGTACCATATTGAAGATGTGAATCTAAATGTAAAAAATAAATCCCATAGTTCAAAATTACTTATGTCATTGACAAGTTTAACACAAAATTTAGTAAGACAGTATTCAGACAGAAAACATGTTTTACCCCAAGCCATTTGTTCAAGATTCTGAGCTCAACTCTGAATTACTATTTTCCTAAATACTTGGCTAAGGGATTGTCCTCTGACCTTGTGTCATCGCCCTCATTGTCCTCTCTTTCCTGCAAGCACAGGTTCAGAGAAGATAAGAAATATGTCTTCTTTTGATGCCTATTCTGATCCTTGGCTCTGCACAGTGTATAATTCAAGGTTCCCACCAGGCCTTAGTGGGCTGATAGGCCTTCAACAGAATGCACTGCACATCAATCTACAAGACTCATTGCTGACTAAAGCATCAAAGTTGGGCTACTCATCTGTGGGCCTTTCTGATTTTTCCCTTTCAACTTTGAAATTAATTTTCAATTCCAGATAATATTTGAAGGCATTTAAACTGGAGGTTTTTTGACTCCTTATGGCTATAGGTTTGCTTTGTTTGGATGGTTCTACAGTATATTATTTTTTAAATGCATATTTATAAGTTTAAATGTTTATATGTGGATATGTGTACTCTCATTTGCCACCTTTTTCATGGTCCTCACTACCCTCTGTCCTCTTCAGAAGGTATTTTTGAAATGACTCTCGAGGTATTTGAGTTTAAGTGGCCCCTAAGAGAGATTTTGAGATCCTATATCTCCAATTCAATTGGAGGACCCAAAGATAAAAGTATTGTCTGTAAATACAAAAATTCCAGTTAGCAAAGTAGCTCCAAAGTGATAATAAAACCTAAAGGGGCCTAGGGCAAGCATCTTAGTTGCTGTATCATCTGGTCACCAAAAGTTGGGTGGTCTGCTAAACTTTGATTTATATTCTCTCAGTAGCAAACTGACTCCAATGGGATTTCCACAAATCCTCTAAAATGCAAATATGTACTCCACAAAAAGTAATAAATCAATTTATGAGATTGGGGATCTATACCATTTGCCAGAAGGAGGAATCTACATATCACCTTTTTCTAATACAGGTCAGAGAAATGCTGATTGAGAATCGAAGAGACCAGGAATAAAATTTCAGGGGAGGGCTGACAGTGAACAAGAAGGTAGGAGTTACAGTTCTTGAGTGCACAGGCAGGGAACAAGAGACAAATGATCTAATTCTATACTAGACTGGCAGTTAAACCGTGTGTGTGGCAGATAAACCAACCCTATATTCTATCTTAGGTTTAGGCACTTATATCCTTTATATATATATACACACACACACACATATATGTATATATATTTTGCTGATTAAACAAATATATACATAAATCAATTTAATTTTTATGTCTGGGATTTTCCATATAAATGGATTAATATACCAGAAAATAACACTTGCTAAAATTAGATGTTTTTATTCAGAAAATATGCTCAACATGTTCTCAGCTAGAAAATAGGCAAAAACATTCTGACCTGCTTAGTATAATTGAGAGAATATAAGGGAGCTACTTTGCATTATACAGACTTAGAGGATTTACAATTTTATTTTTGCCATCTTGGTTTATGAAAAGCAGACTGAATAACATGCTAGAGATTGATTAATAAGAGAACATGGGACTAATCTTAAGGAGGCATTGGGTGAGATTATAACACTTAAGCTACTGTATAACTACAGAGTAACATTTTTAATAATCCTGAACAATATCTGTCTGTGACACCTTAAGATGAGTAAAATCAGCCTCTTTGTTGATATCATTAAATAGGGAAATGGTGCTGCATGTGCCCCAAACTACCAGTGACCAAATAATCAAAGAAGAGACGGAAGGCTATCTCTCCTGGAAGCTTCTGTGTTCCAACCTCATGCGGCAAGCAGATGTGCTGGCCCTGGCTGCATGGCTACAGTCTGCTCTTCACTCCCTGAGATGGCATCTGTCCCCTGCTCCTGTGAACCGGGAAGCAGAACTCCAACCTTCTTCTCACTTCCTGAGATGGCATCTGTGCCCTGCACCTGTGAACCAGGAAGTAGAACTCCGACCTTCTCCTCACTTCCTGAGATGGCATCTGTCCCCTGCCCCTGTGAACCAGGAAGTAGAACTCCAACCTTCAACAGTCTTCTCAGTGAATCCAGTCACACCAGTCACATTCTGAGTTCTGTAGCAAAGATCCATGAAGTCTTGGGCAGGGCTCTGCTACATGATCTGTACTCTTGTCTCAGTATCAAACACCCCTTCTAAGCTGTACACTGGTGCTGAGGGAAGTTTCTCTTTCCATTTCTCATACATTCTTGTTTCTAGCATCTAAATTGCTTTCTGGTTCTTCTATTCTCCAGTCTGGGATTTCCCTGAATTACTGGTTTTCCTCTTTTCTGTATGTGGAGTAATTCATCTCTGTAAATTCTGACCAGCATTCCCTCCTTACCTCATAGGACTGAGTG
Source organism: Homo sapiens (assembly GCF_000001405.40). Classification (NCBI taxonomy): domain Eukaryota; kingdom Metazoa; phylum Chordata; class Mammalia; order Primates; family Hominidae; genus Homo; species Homo sapiens. Next base: position 22,498,385 of record NC_000002.12, read on the forward strand.
AAATTAACGCCCTCCGAGTAGTTGTCACCACTCTCCTTAGAAGCCTGTTTCATGACTGCAGTTCACTACTTGTGCCCTTCTTATCGGATATCATCTGCCATTTCAAAGTATTTATCAAAATGTTTTTGAAAATTCTCACAATGCTCTTCCTAAGAGGAACCAAGCTGAATAAATCAATATATTTTAAAGTATAGGCATCCTACACAATGAGAGTAGATACAGCAACTGAGAGCAAGAAGCAGAGATGACCCCATAATTGAGTGAGATACTCACATCAACATGCCTTATAGTCCCTGCAGAATTATACATTTGGTTAAAAAATAGTGAAAGCTCAGAAACCATGGCCCTGCTTGGAATTGGAATACAGTGAACATGCCTATGGACTGGAATAAGAAGTAGAGCTAATATATATATATGAAAGTGAAAAAGAGGCAGGACCCATCCTGAGAACCACCAGCCCAGGGCAAGCGAGGAATTAAAGAGCCAGCTCTGCTCCATCACCCAGTGCTCCAGAGAATGACGCGGTCTCCATGCATCAAAATTTCCTACGATGTTTACTGTCTGAATCCCAACTTCACTCTTCACTGCCATGAATGCCAGTCCTCAGCAGCAGAGAACTTCTGTTTGGCTCTTCTAGTTTTCAGCTCTTCACAACCATGCATTAACCACAGCCTTTGAACCATACTAACCAGTGTCTTCAAAAGGGCAATTTCACATTCTCCCCCTTTACTGATGGGAGCAGAGGAAATGCTACTCAGGGGAAGGAGGGAGATCCTTCAGCATCAGGACTGACTCCCAAAGGCTGCCACAAATTTATTCCTGCAACCCCCTCACACAGTCACAGAGCCCTATAGCAATGGTGTTGCCATGGCAACCAAGAGGCAGCCAAGAGGAGAATGGATCTTATCACCCCACAAGTGGTGCTTCAAGTCTTCCATCTCATCACTCTTTCCATATGACAAACTACGTCATTAAGATACCCCAGATAGTCATTAATTACTAAGTGTGTCTCCTCTACTCTAAGTTTGGTCATGCGAGTATCACCTAGAGGACACAGGAAAAGCAAGTTTCAGCCGCATGGTGGAAAAACTAAAAATGAGATTAGGATGCTGGGGAGGATTCCAGGGAGAGAAGACCAAGGAGGGAGAATCCTGGAGGTCATCTTACTCAATGCCCTTATCACAGCCCTCTGTGTGAGCATAGAGATGAAAAATCATGCAGTGTAACTTCTGATTGCCCTTTTCAAATTCCCAGAACAAGCACTATGAATCAGCAATGTCCCTTGGAGTGTGGGAGAAAGACTCCCAAGACAGCAGCTTAAGGCTGGCCAAGGTCTCAGGAAATCTATTTATGCCCTGGGTCAGCCAAGGCAGGGTTGGAATGAGAAAACTGGGATAGCTAAGCCCTTCGGGGGCAAGTTATTTTAGTAAGAAACCCATTTTGTAGAATTTAATAAATTCTAGGTTTTGTCACATGCTTTTTTTCCTTTCTATTTTTTCCCTGTTTTCATAAAAAAAAAAAAAAAAAAAAAAAAAAAAAAAAAAAAAGCTTTTTTATTTTTAGAGGACAAATGGAAAAGTCTCTCTCTTTCCATGACTCAGCCAGAAAAGTTTGAAGGATTATGGTGTTTTACAAGGCCAGATGTGAGGCATCAGGGATGGAAAGCTTGGTGAGGTGGGGGCTTGGGGAGGGATGCCTACTGCCTCACATCCTTTCAGGCTAAGGAAAGAATGTATTTGGCATCCAAAGTGCATGACAAATTTGTGTAACTTCACATACATCCTAGTGGTAGGGACAAGAGAAGATGTCTAATAGTGAGACATAGAGTCAGCAAGGTAGGCAAAACCTGGTCACGAGTATTTTTATCTAGCTACATAAAGGATTTAGATTTTGTTTTATAAGTTGTGCATAGACACTGATCAGATCTAGTTTTGGCCAGATTATCCAGCAAGGCTAGGAAGGAAATTGCAGCTGGGAGTGGTATTCATGAGGTCCTTAGGGGAGAGAAAAAGACATAATGTTCTAGAAAACAGTTTGCACAAATATGTTGTTGAGAACAGAGTTGCCTCTGCAGTGTTGTCTGAAAGGATGGAATTTTCCCCTTGTAGGTGACAACAGAGCCATTTCTTCACTGTGAAAGATCAAGTTTCAAGTGCACCACAGGGAGAAGGGTGAATGAGACCCATTGGTGGTAGAGTCACAGGAATGAGCTGGTAGGGGCAGAAGAACCACAAATGAGGGAGAAATCTGCTCATTTCCTTCTTTCTTGCCCCAAAGCAAAGCAACAGAATCTGGTCCAAAGGGCTGGTACAGATGGTGGAACAGCACAGCATATGCTCTGCAAGTACTTCCAAGAACCACCTATATCTTGGCACTTAAATACTTCACAACAGAGAAAATGTGCTGATAATTTATATATTCAATATGTGTTCATGTGTGTACATGCCCAACATTCACACACACAGAGCCAACACTCAGCAAACTCTGCATCACTAAAACTTAGCTTATGGGCCCTGCTTCCATTTCGTATGCTTTCCCTATTCCTAGTATCACCATACTCTCTTCTTTCTTCAGTCTTTAGCCCTGTTCTTAGGATTGTGTTCTTACATCAGTTTCTTACCCCTTCAGCAAACTCCAGGGTTCTTAGGGAACCCAATTGCTAATCCCCATCATGTAGAATAAAAAGCTCTTTCCTCTTTTTAGAAGAATTTCATGCATAACTAAGTATGGCAGGGAAAGTCTTTTATGACCTTGACCTCGTAGAATATAGTCCGCTACTTAGTAATTTTAATACTTAGTTTCTGTATACCTAAAACCAGGCATGGTCACGTGGAGGTACACTGGCATATACACACCCCACCAATACCAAGATCTGTGAGTTAAAACAGACCGACAGAAATGCCTCCTTTATTCTCCCTCTGCTTCAGTCTTTAGTCCCCACTGCCTCTGGTAAGTAGGACAATGGCCATCATTTCACCACAGCAAAGCAAACAAAGGAAGTGACACTAAGGATGCCCTAGATGGGGATTGCCTGTCTTCAAGTTTTAGACTTCTGATTTGGATTACTTTCAGAGCTAGTGTTACTCAATGGACTTGAAAACAAACTCATTTTGCAGTTATTTTCAGGAGGAATCTGTATCCTATCTCCAATATCCATGTGACTCTAAGCAGTTCACCTCTTCTCACTGTAACCTCTTCTACAAAACATCCCCAATGTCATTGTCTGCTCCAAATTTACACTTATTGTAATAAAGTAGACTAGGCAGTGAGTTCACAAACCTCTGGGTGTCTCAATCCTTCGTTAGCAAATTCTTGCCAGCATAGCTGTATGCATGACAACTCCCAACTCCTCCTCACACACTGATGTACAACACAACACACAGATACCCAGACCTACACATTCCCATTGTCCCCAAGACATCCAGAACTGTGCCCAGTCCCACACAGATGCATCTGCACACAAAAATGCACACCCTGGGTGCAAACATAGTCTCCACATATATTTATGCAAGTGTTTTATAAACAGCAAAACCTTGCTAATTCACAAGCCTCTTTGGCTGGTGGATTACTGGAGTGTGCAGATTAGAATTAAAACAAATGATTACAAAGTCAAGGATAGCCCATTGCCAAACACATTCTGTTCTTTTGCTTAGTGTTGTAGTTTTGCCTTAATTTATGGTAATCCTACCCACGCTGCAAGTTAATGTATGGCTGGTTCATAAATGGAGTGCAATCTACTACTCCATTTTGGCTGGGAAGGAAGAGAAGACCGCCAGGTTTTTAAACAAGTCTTAAAAAAAACAAAAATTACAGTTCTGCCACATATTAATGTGAGAATAGATGAGATTCCTCACTGTTCATATATATGGTGTATGTGGACAAATATATATACTCATAATGAAGTCCCAGTTCTGTGAAAACTCTTAGAACAGATGTTGAGTTTAATTTCTGTCATAATATATGATAGTTTGGTTTAATAAAAAAGAATTTACAGACTTCAGTAGCTTCATGTCCAAGGGCTATATCTCTGCACCAACTGTCATTTACTCCATCATGTCTCTCCCCTTCATTTCATGTGGGATTTCAGACCCATATTCAGTCCTTCATCCTTCTACCCTGTCTTGTGGTTTCTTCTTCCATGACAGGAACTGATGAAACTCTTTAATTGTGTCTATCTCTCTATATATTACACACAGAATTCAATACAAACTCAAAGTAGATTTTCACCAGAACCTCACGCCAACCAAGCTTTCCTTCAGTTTCCAGCCAGCCTTGCTTATACTTCAATCTAAGAACATACCATAAATATTCTACTTTCTTCAATTTCCTGATTCATCCCCATTGAGTTCAAATATACATGAATTTTTCTTAGCCTGAATTTTTTCCTCGACTAGAAACAGGTCATAATTTATCTTTCCCATGCATAGAATTTCTGATAAGTAATATGTATTTCTTCCCACTAGAAAAAAATCCCCGTTGTACCTGAATCCCACCCATCTTATGGAACAGCATTGTTTAAAAACTTTGGATTGAAATGTAATGTATCTACAGCATGGTACACAGATCACAAGTGTTCAGCTATTTGAATTTTCAGGATTTGAATACACTCATCTAAGTAACTCCCTAGCTCAAAAGAAAGAATATTACTAGAACCACTGAAATCCCCCTGCTGGCCTCACGGTCACTATCCTCTATTCCAGGAGTTGATAGAAAACTAACTGTCATCTATTACCACCAATTAATTTTGTCTTTTTGGGAACTTTATATAAGTGAAATAATGGGATATTTATCTTTTCATATCTTATTTCTTTCAGTCAATGCTGTATTTGAAAGTCAACCATATTACTGTATGCAGTTGTAGTTCATTCATTCTCATTGCTGTGTAGCACTCCATTGTACAAATAAACCACATTTTTTTCTCCCTGTTGGTGGATAGTTGGGTAATTATTTTTATGGTATTATTAATAGTTCTGCTATGTACCTTGTTATGCAGGGTTTTTGGTGAATATGTATAAATTTTTATAGGAAAATACCAGAAATGGAATTGCTAAGTCATAGGATGTACAGTGTATGTATGTTCAACTGGAGTACATACACCCAACAGTAGTTTAAAGTCAATGGCTCTAAGAATGTAAGCCCTTATCATCACTGTCTGAGTGTCCCAAGGTCCTACACACACACCAACACACAGTGTTTAGGGTCATTTTTTTAAAAAAGCAGTGTTGATGATAGTGTAGTAGTATAAACACATTATTACATTTTGATTCACATTTCCCTGACTGAGCACAATTTTATACATTTATTCATCATTTGACATCCTCTATTGTGAAGTGCCTAAGGATTTAAAATTAAGCATCTTTTCATTTGTTTATCGGCTATTTGGATATCCTCCTTCAAGGAGTTCAAGTTTTTGCATATTTTCCTACAGAATAATCTGTCTTTGTGTGTGTGTGATTGGTAGGAGTTCTTTATATTTTCTGAATAGGAGCCCTTGTTGGATAGGCATATTGTGAATAACTTCTCCCAATTGAGGGTTGCCTTTTTTCTCTGTTAGTGCCTTCTTTTGATGATATGAAATGAGATGTCAATCATAATACAATTCATTTATCATTTTAACTTTTATGATTAGTGCTTTTTCTGTCCTATTTAAGAAACTGCTATTGCCTTACTCCAAGGCAGGACATTTTTAAGTTTTTTTTATAGCCTGTATTTAATTTGATCCTCAGGACATACCTGTGAAGTAGGCAGAAGAGGTATCATTTTGTCCATGTTACAGAAGAAGAACATGGACTGAGAGAGGAGAGTGAGTAAGACAGTTCTCAAAGCAAGTCTTCTGACTCCAGCTTCTGAATATCCTGGAAACCAAAGTATACTCCAATCTCTTATGATTCCTAAACTTGGGTCACTATTCATGCCAGAACTAAACCTCTCCATGGCATGGCCTGAAAGGACACTGCTTGGGAAATGTAAAGCCAAGAAGAAGGTCATGGTTATGGGCATTTACAGCAAGTGATTCACATTAAAATATGATGGTATTCCCATCACCTAAACCTGAGGCCTCTGCTCTACAAGAGTAGATGTAGAAGTTTTTAAGAAAAAGCCAAAGTCCACTTCTCTTTTAACCATTGAATGAGGCAGAGAGGAGTGAGATCCCTCCTGTTCTCATTACAGCTATATATACATATTTTTAAATAAGGAGATGAGGTGGGAAAGAGAGAGGGAAATGAGTGAGAGTTACAGAGAGGAGACTGAAATAAGAAAGAGTAGTACAGAAGGAGAGAAAGAGGAGGAAGAGATTAAGAAATGTGAAAGACAGTGAGTCAGAGAGAGACAAAGATGAGTGAAAATGGAGAGAGCAGAGATGAAATAAGAAAGATTGAGAGAGGAAGGGAAGAGGAAAAGAGAAAAAAAATTGTTAAAGAAAACTAAAGAGAAAGAGGCTTGCCATCTATAAGCACTGTGATCTTGGCCATACTGTTTTATCTCTTTAGTCTTCACCTTTTTAAAATGGAGATAATAACACATACCCACTGTGGCTGCTGTTGGAATGAAAAAGAGATAATGCAGGTAAATGTATTTGCTCAATCACCCCTCTGTGATGGTGGCTTAAATAAAAAATTTGTTAGACAAAACTATTTTAAAAAGCTTCAAGACTGGCCAAATCATGAAGTCAATGATGGATAGTATGTTTACATCTACAGCCTACCAAATAGAATTCTTCGTTTTGCCATTAACAAAAATTGATTTGATGACTCCTTGTATATATAAATCCATGGCTACATCTGGAGGTATCTGGACTCACTCCATGCTTAGCTTTAGGAATGATGAACAACTTTAAATTAAGTGCCAAAGCTCAATAAGCCACTGAGTTTCATTAACACTCTTATTAATGATCAGATTACATGTTAAACAGAGATAATTACTTTCTTGATGACAAATAGGAAGATGTCGTAATCACCAGGTATAAAAAATAATACCCCCAGAAAAAAAGATATAAAAAGGGACCAAAGTGTAGCAATTTTCCTTTATCAGACTCTTTGAAAAATTTTCAACTAAGTAAGTTTTGGCACGTGCACACACAAACACAAACAAAACATCTTATTATTCTAGGAGAAATGCCTTCTCTTACAAGGTGTTTGAAATAATTCTGGAATTTAGGAAACTTCTTGGGAAATGAATAGAGTGGACTATCTATGGCTTGGTCACCATTTCTGTTTTCATAAGACTAACACCTTCTCTCCAGCCCTATTTGTTTTTTTCACTTTCCTGGGCTCCCTATGTATTTGTCTTTTCTATAGTTGCTATGTGTCTCCAGAATTGTTTCATTCATTTAATCACTGAAAAATTATGTATCATTTAATAAATAATCCTGAGCACCCTGTTGGGATTAGAAACATAAAGTTGGAGGAGGGATGGAAAGCTATGGCAGATCTCTTTCTTGGCTCTCAGAGCCTAGCTCAGGTGTCCATTCCTGAAACTGATAAAGAGGTAGAAAAGCTTATTCAAAGAGAAAGCAAGTCCCGTTGTTGATATTTTGCAGCTCTACACCTAATGGGGAATAGGAGGTGTTTTTTAAAAGTAATTTCAGAAGCCTCAGAAACCATATCTTGACCTCCATAAGCACTGTTGCCTGGGGCAACAAAAGTTCTCAGACTCAGTTCTCCTCTGCGCTCAGGGAAATAATAATGCCTTATTATTCTGACGTACAGAACGACAAAGAAATTTCTTTGCATTTACTTTTTCTGATGCTTACAAAATCTTCCCTCTCTCCCTGCTAGTTCTATTTTCAGATGATAGAAAAAGGAATTTTTTTAAAAATGCATCTCTTTAAAAGGTCAAGGGAAAACTTGAAAAACTGAAAATCACTTGGAGACATCTAAAGTCTGCTTCTATATATGAAAGTGCATTTAAAAGAGTTTATAAAATGAATTTTTAAAAATTAGTATATGCAGCTATTAGGAAAACATTCCATACCTTAATATTGATGTACCACTTGAAAAGGGAGACTTTTAGATGTGCTCATGGAATACACTAGGGAAAGATGAAGAGCTGCATACACTGATCCCTAAAGCCAAACTTAGAGGGGTCATTGGGGTCCTAACCTCAATAATCCAGGCCAGAAAATGTCAGACGGGGTCATCCCAGGAAAAAGTTGTGTTCTATTTGGTGTCTAGGGAGATGCTTTCTGAGGGTGCCTAGGGAGTAGTGTAACTTTAAAGGGGACCCACAGACCTACGGGGAACCCTATAAAGGTGAGGGAGGGATGGAGAGCCATGGTGGATAGCTTTCCCCATCCAAGTTCCCAGAAGGTCCTCTGCCCAGAAAGAAGCCAGATGGAGGGTCTGACTTCACAGCCAGGCTGTCCTTAATCTTGACTATAGCCCTACCCCACGCAGTGCTACCTACAGTCCTCTCTCCCAATGCAGTCCTAGCTCCCTGCTCACCTCTGTGCAGGCAGTACCAGAACACAGTACTGGCTCCTTTCTATTCTCCCCAGAAATTCCCCAAAATGACTCTGATTTGCAAAGGTCTGTGAGATTGAGATTGAAGTTACCCTAGAAACATCTCAAAGGTGAGAGAAGAGGAATGAAAAGAACCTGAGTGGAAATTTGGGAAACTGAAGCATAGTATTTGCTTAGGTATTGCTTGTCTATTTGCCTTGAGGTGTTTCGAAAGCACAGTGCTCTCATTCGCAAAGCTATCAGGGGCCCATACACACAACTGCACTCTCTTCTTGTGTATAAACACACAACACACTATTTTCCACACCAGACAAACGCATCACATTATAAAACTTTTTAACATTGCTTGTTTCTACAAAAGCATGTGGTTAAGTGAGTTTGCTATAACTTAACTCCTTTTTATATACCTACTGATAATTTATTTTGATCTACCACTGCTTTTTCCTTTTTAAGCAAAGATTATGCCTCTCAATATGGAATTGTAATCTCTTCTTCTGGTTCCACAATGAAGGACACACCATATTGTCTTAAAGGGGAACTAACATCACTTTATCTAACACATGAAAATAAAGATCAAGTTCACAATAGAGATTAAAGGACTTGGGAAGTTCTTGAAGGGAAGTTCTTGAAAGGTTTGTAAAGCCAAGCTTGGAGTCACAGAGGGTATTTTTTGCAGCACTCTAAAGCTGCATTCAACTGACCAGTATTTTCCAACCCTGGAGGCTACATCCCTGAATAATCACACGCTACCACCACTTTCTTTCTGAGATGTTGACAGTCAAAACAACTTCCCTTTTCTCTACTGTAGAGCTTCTGCTTTCCAAAGAAAATTTTCCCTGATAATTAATTCTCATTTCTCCTCTGTACCAAAACAGAAACACTACCATCTTGTTTATTAAGTTTTCACCAGGAAGGGAGAATGTGAGAATCTTCCTGTAAACGTAGGCTGGGGGGAGTCAACAGGTGCAATCTAGAAAGTAAACATAGGTTAATGAAGCACAAATAGTGTTTGGAGCTAAGAATGTCCTTGGGACATTTTAAACCATATCTAAGGATTACGCTTACTGGAAGCTCTGCTGGCCTCCTATCCACACAGCTGATATCACATAGGTCATACTGCAGGGTTAATTTCACTTCTGCCAATTAAAGATCCCCAGCCCCAAACTCTAGAACCTCAGCATCATTACGTCACACTTGTTTCTTCTCTGGCCCCTAATGTTAGGCCCCATGCTAGTGACCTCTCTGCTTTGTTCCATTTGGAGCACTAGTTGTATAAGTAGATACTTGCCTGGTGACTTCTATCAGAATCTCTGTGTATAATTCTGAAAGAGGTAGGAGCTCGCTTACCTGGGCCCACTTGCCATGCTAGCCTTTCTTTATCATAGAGTGTGATGTATCTTAGTGTGATTTGTCCTTTTATTTGTCCTTCTCTAGTAAAAGTCTGTTTGGGAGTTCCCCAGGTAAGAAATGGTGTTTACTCATTTCTGTCCTTGGCCCCCAGATTGTTTCTCATATATAATAGCCTATTATGAATCATTTTATATATTAACTTTTAATTTATTTGACCCTACAGAGCCATCGGGTTTTGAACTAATTGACAGAAGAAATTAGATCTCACTCACTTCAATATTAATCTTCAACTTTGTGCTCAAAATTAAGCACACTCCTATCTTATTTAGCAAAATAAAATTATAAAAGTACGTACTTTAAAATCCACTTAGAAAATATCTATGGCCAGAAATATTTGCAAAAATTAGAAACTCATGTGTTACTTTATTCATAACTTTATTTATTTCATACATATTGAGCCCCTGCTGTGGGCCAGACATTGTGCATGTTATTATTTCATTTAATGTACTCACTCCTGAACCTTTCAATAATACAGTGCACTTTTTGAATACAAAATAAAGTTTTACAAGGGAAGAAAACTCCTGGACCTTTTAAATACCTGGTTATCAATGGCAAATATATCAATTTAATATCAAAATTGAGGTATGAAAAACAAACTCCATTATGGCATCTCATCATTCATTCCTTTTCCCACCAATTCCCTTGTGGCTTACTCAAGTATTCCTGACATGAATGGTGCTGGAGTGGTCACAGCTCATAAGTGAAGCTTCTCCTATCCAGATTTCATTGTCATTAGAATTTACTCTATTGTCAACAAAGCAATACTGCTGATGGTTGGAGAAAAACAACTGCCACGGTATCCAAGTGTGGGAGAAAGCTTTGTTTGAGCTTGGCTCACTTTTTGGAAGAAAGGATAAAAGGCTGCAGAGTTCAAGTGCACAGGACGTGCCTTGATTCCTGCAAGATGGGGTGCAGAACTCAAGTGCCTAGCCTGTTAAGAAGGCTCTCCTAGAGCAGCCTCCCAGGAAAGCAGCCCTCTAGTGAAAAAAGACAGCATAATATCTCTGAGTGGCCATTCCATGACACGCCAGGCTCAGAGAAACAGTTTCACGGGTTGCTAGTACAGTATGGCATCGCCTGTTAAGATTGTGGTCAATGACGGACTACATATATGATGGTAGTACCATAAGATTATAATGGAACTGAAAAATTCTTATCACTTGGTGATGTAGTAGCCATCATGAGGTCATAATACAATGTATTACTCACATGTTTGTGGTTTTCTGATGTAAACAAACCTACTGTACTGCTAGTCATATAGAAGCATAGCACATATAGAAGCATATATTATGCTCCTATATGTCATATAGAAGCATAGCACATAGTCATATAGAAGCATAGCACATAGTCATATAGAAGCATAGCACATAGAATTATGTACAGTACATAATACTTGATAATGTTAAGAAATGACTGTGTTACTGGCTTATGTATTTACTATACTATACTTTTTATTATTATTTTATAGTGTACTGAGTGTCTTTATTTAAAAAAAAAAA